>NC_000004.12:82860774-83012290 GCF_000001405.40 Homo sapiens
GCCTAGTTCAAAGTTTTAGTAAAGATTTTATCCATATCCTTTATTCCCTTGTTAATTAAACTCTAGGAGATCCACTTCTAAGGAGAATGATTTTTGCAATCATCTTGTAATAGACTAAATTTACTTATTTTTATAACTTAGTAAAAAATTATACATAACATTCCATAGTCAAGATATCACAAAGAACAATGAAAAAGCCAAAGATGAGATGAGAAGAACTTGTTGATTAATTTTCCAAGATGAAATAAAATTAGAAAGCAAGAAAAGTAAATTACAGATTTGTTCATTAGTGGTTAAAAAAAAAAAAACACCCAGAAAATTAAAAGGAAAAATTAATGATGTAACTCTGTGTTCAAGGACTCTTCTCAATTATTTACAAAAATTATCAACTAAGGACACATTTATTGAAAATCATGACAATAAGTTTAGTGAAATATCCTTTACTTCAACTCCATGTTCAGTACTAATTCAGAGGCCTATTAGCCACTGATAGTTGGCCCAAAATTATAGGCCAAGAAAAACATTAACTTTACATGCAATGCAATGCAGTGAGGATGTTTGAATAAAATCTCTTTTCAGTTTGACATCCTGAGAGTCATCTGACCAAATTATGTTAATCTCACATCAACTGTTAGTTTTAAACCATATAATCCAGAAACAAGGTTGGAGAACTAGAGTCTGGAGATGATACTTCTGTCAGTATAGGTAGATAGATTCCTATCCTAAACATCTCAAAGAAAACAATTTACTTCAACTTTATTTTGCCATAAGTAGTCAAGAAAATTTTCCTTATTTTAATGTGAGATACACAAATATCACAAATTTGTCCAATATAATATGAAAAAAAAATAAGTACCTCTCCCAAGAGCTGCTCTTCAGCAGCAGGGCTCTCCTCCCCATCACTCTGTGCTACTTGGTCAGAGTCTTTAAGAGCCTTTGGTACACAAAACAATTACAGGGGAAGGTGAAGAATGTAGTATTAAAAGGCTATTAGTGAACCAGGAAGACAAAAGACCCAACCAACAACATTCAGAGCTAGTTTAATCATAAGAAGCAACAGTGAGTAAATTTATTTGAGAAATACCATTAGAGGAAAAGCAAAGAACTATTACTGCTAACACTTTCCCATTCTTTTTTTTTTTTTTTTTTTTTTTTTTGAGACCGAGTCTCACTCTGTCGCCCAGGCTGGAGTTCAGTGGCACGATCCCGGCTCACTGCAACCTCCGCCTCCCAGTTCAAGCAATTCTCCTGCCTTAGCCGCCCAAGTAGCTGGGATTACAGGCATGTGCCACCACGCCCAGCTAATTTTTGTATTTTTAGTAGAGACAGGGTTTCACCATGTTGGTCAGGCTGGTCTTGAACTCCTGACCTCAGGTGATCCACCTGCCTCGGCCTCCCAAAGTGCTGGGATTACAGGCATGAGCCAACACACCCGGCCCACTTTCCCATTCTTTCCTACCATTTTTTTTTTCCTGGCCAAAAAAAAAAAAAAAAATTTTATCTTAAGTATTTGAGTAGTCATTAATTCTGTTTTTCCTGCTTTACAAAATTCAAATATGTATGTCAAGAGAAAGGAATGCTCTACCAGCTAAGCTCATGTTATTTTAAAATGAGAATTATTAATTTATTAAAATATCTAGAATAAGCATTTATTTTTATACCATAAAGCATAAAACACAAATTTCTTAAATGATATTTCCTTCTTCGTTATGACCTAGCCAAAGTTTTAGAAGGTAGCTATTTTTAAAGGCCTTCTTACCACATTGGCTCCATCCACTTTGTTCAAGGCCAAAGCAATCTGAAATAAAAATAACAGCTCACCTACTACATGGAATTCTATTTCAGAGCATCCAGCAAATGTTCACCTCTTGCTTCTCACTGGCGAAAATCCACAAAAGTTCTTATAGGAATAGTATGTTTAAAAAAATTAAAAAAGCTATGCAGAACTGGTTCTCCATGGTGCTAGCTTCTTTCACATGGAAGTAATTAGAAATAATCCGACAATCATTCTATTTCCTCATTTTTTGCCATCAGGCATGCAAGTAAAACTTTCATATCAATCTCTTACAAGCCTAAAAAAGTTACAGCCTCAAGAAGTTTAGACTACTAATAAAGTTAAATATAAAACTCTAAAGGAGTGAGCAAAGACATAGCCACTAAGCAGTGGGGTTGTGATGTGATCTTAGTTAGTTCTGCCTGACATCAAAAGAGCACTAATCTTCAATATGCACTTAAAGTGCACAGTATACCTCTACCACACATGCAACAACCTGCAATGCTATAGAAAACTCTAGCCATTTCCAAAGAATGATGAAAGGCTAATACAAGTTACATAGTCATTTATCAATATGTATTCAAAACTCTGGCAACCACTGTGGGTAATGATGGAGAATAAGAAAAAGAAAAAGGGAAAAAACGCTGGCAACCAAACACAAATTATTATTAAATGTTTATTGGGTGATTTGAGATAATCTGTGTAGAACTTTATTTTTTAAAAGTATGATTCATAAAGAGCATGCCATCTAACTTTCCCAAAAGTTTACCTTCTTTCCTAGATCTTCTTTTCTGTATCCTAGAAGTTCAAGGTATTTTCCACGAGAATCATCCTCAAAGTTTACCTTTAAAAAAAAAGACATATTCTTAAAACAAAGACCTACATTTAAAGGCCGAATTTTTATAAGAATGAATCAAATTCCAAAGAGAATTATTAAAAATATCTGAAGTCTACATTCTAAAGATTCACTGTTTGAAGGAATCCAAAGAATAGTGGGTTTTTTTGTTTTTTATTTGGAGACCCAGCCTCAGGAGGTCCTGAGAACATGTGCCCAGAATTATTTTTTTAAATAAGTTATTTATTAATAGTAAATATACTAGTAATTAATTATCCTGGTTGAATAAAGCTTACTTTTGAACAGTAATTTCTGTAAATACAAACTTATGTCCAAAGGTTAAACTGATACAAAACTCAAACTATGTGGAATATTCTATGTCCTAAAATTCTTTCCCAAAATTATTACAAAATATAAATTCTTTAATTTTATACTTTAACCTAACTGTATTCAAGACTGCTTTACCTTTGAAAAACCAGTACCGTATAAAGAAACAGACATTCCAGTGGAGGCAAAATGACCAACCAGGAAATTCTATTTGTTATTCTAATCTAACTCCTCTTAAAGTAAAAGGAAAAATGCCTCCAACCTCTCTCCTCTATTCCTCTTCCTCTTTTTTCATTTTCCTTAACTAGATCTACTATAGATGTTAAATATTCTGTTTTCATTATAGTAAACTCTATGTACTCATCTTCAAAATAGGTGTGCTGACTATGTCGCTCTCCTCTAAACAGACCTATTATTATTTTTTTTTACTTATTAAAAATGTATTTCATATTACACTTTTCAAAGCAGAGAAGGAAAAACTCTGGACATAAGTTAGGTTGTATGCTCTTTATAAGGCTTCTTAATTTCATGATGAATTGCTGAAATCACACTTTTTCAATTGTTTCTTTAATAGGAGGACAGATTTAGAATATAAAGGAACAGTTAAATTTGCAGATAATGAAATAATATAGCTTTAAACAGCAACTTTACCTTCAAAAAGGACCACACATTTTTCTCAAATTCAGTCTGAGAAGCATCAATTTTTTTTTGGCAATAATTGATAAATCCTTGTGACTGCACAGCCTGCTGAAGTTGGTCTGATCGGCTGAGGAACTCCTTTTCTGTTACAACCTGACTAATGAACACATGGTGCTGCTGCTGCTGCTGCTCAGCTCCCTGATGAGAAGGCATTCTGACATTCTCAAACGTAACCAGTTTGCCTCCAAACTATAAAAGAGAGAATGAACAAACTCAGTGTTAACCCAAGGATATGGCCAAAAAAAGTGCTTATAAAGTGGCCTAAACAGATAATCTGGATGAAATTAGTTGATACAACCTCTCATGCGCCACAGTCTGACACCACTTCAATTTCTGTTCTAGATGAAATGTACTTTTTTGGTTTTTTGGTTTTTTTTTTTTTGAGACAGAGTTTCGCTCTTAGTCACCCAGGCTGGAGTGCAAAGGTGGGATCTTGGCTCACTACAACCTCTGCCTCCTGGGTTCACGTGATTCTCCTGCCTCAGCCTCCTGAGTAGCTGGGATTACAGGTGCCGGCCACCATGCCTGGCTAACTTTTGTATGTTTAGTAGACAGGGTTTCACCATGTTGGCCAGGCTGGTCTTGAACTCCTAACCTCAAGTGATCCACCCAGATAGAGAAGACCAGATAGGACGATGAGAAGATTAAGCAGATCCAAAGAACAGACTTACGAGTGACATAAAACATATTCAAAGGTCCATTTTAGGAAGATTAATCTTGGAATATGTAGTAGAGATTAGAGGGGGAAAAGACAAGCAACAAATATGAAATCAAGCTATTAGAAGTTTGGCATGAAAGAATTAGGCAAGGTATCAGCAATGTAAAAGGAAGAAACAAACAAAAAGTGCTAGAGAGGATGTGGAGAAACTAGAACCCTTGTGCACCACTAGTGAGAATGTAAAATGGTAAAACGGCTATAAAATGGTATGGAGGTTCTTCAAAAACTTAAAAATAGAACCATCCTATGATCCAGCAATCCCACTTCTGGGTATATGTCCCAAAAAACTGAAAGCAGGATCCCAAAATGATAATTACAAACCCATGTTCACCACAGCATTTATTCACAATAGCCAAAAGGTGGAAGCAACCAAAATGACCATCAAATGAATGGATAAAAAAAAATGTGGTATATATATATATATATATATATATATATATATATATATATATATATACAATGCAATATTATTTGGCCTCTAAAAAGAAGTAAATTCTGTCACACTACAACACAGATAAACCTTGAGGACATTAAGCTAAGTAAAATAAGCCAGCCACAAAAAGACAAGTACTGCATGATTCCATTTATATGAGTAATTTAAAGTAGAAAACTCCTAGCAACAAAGTAGAATGTGGTTACCAGGGATTCAAGGGAAACAGGAAATGGGGAGCTGTTGTTCAAGGGCACAGAGTTTCAGTTTTGCAAGATGAGAAAGTTCTAGAGATCTGTTGCACAACAACGTGTATATAGTTAACACTACTGTAGTATATATTTAAAAATGGTTGTAGTGTATATTTTAAAATGGTTAAGATAGTAAATTTTATATTATGCATTTTTTACAATTAAAATTTTATATTATGCATTTTTTACCATTAAAAAAAGCTGGCAATTAAAAAAGAAAGCTAAAAGGATGAAGAAGAGGGAGGACACTCCCTGCAAAAAGAAAAGAAAAAAAGAAGAAAAGAAAAGAAAAAGAAGGGAGGGAGGGAGGGAAAGAGAGACAGAGGGAGGGAAAGAGAGACAGAGAGAGAGAGAAGGAAGACAAATTTAAAAGGGAGGAGGGCCGGGTGCAGTGACTCATGCCTGTAATCCCAGCACTTTGGGAGGCCGAAGCGGGTGGATCACCTGAGGTCAGGAGTTCAAGACCAGGCCAGTCAACATGGTAAAACCCCATCTCTACTAAAAATACAAAAACCAGCCAGGTGTGGTGGCACGTGCTTGTAATCCCAGCTACCCAGGAGGCTGAGGCAGGAGAATCGCTTGAACCAAGGAGGCGGAGGTTGCAGTGAGCCAAGGTTGTGCCACTGCACTCCAGCCTGTACAACAGAGTGAGACTGTCTCAAAAAAACAAACAAACAAACAAAAAAATGGAGGAGGGGAGGAATATAAAGTGTTGGCTACACAACAACAATGTAAATGTACTTAATGCCATTGAACTGTATATTTAAAAATGAACAAAATGATCAATTTTATGTATATTTTACCATGATTTTTAAAAAAGGGAAAAAAAAGAGTAGGTTCCAATTTTTCAGAGAAACCATTTTGAATGATGAAATACCCACAAGTACATCTCAAATCCCAACTTAAACCCTGATTGCTTCCATCAGAGTGACTCTATAATAACACTTTGGTATAAAAAGTCCTTTGTGCCTATGGACCATAAAAACAAAATCCACCTACTGAAAAAGAAGCACCAACAGGCCTTCGAATCCACTTGGGCGGCTTCTTCAGAGGCAGCACTATACTATGCTGAGCAGTCTGCTGTGGAATTTGTAACGGAGGAAGGGGCTGTCCTGTGCCAAAGGGATCAAGATTCCCAAAAGATGATGAAAGCTAAAAAAGATAATAATAACATAAGCATCCGACCATACACAAAGTTTCATTTTTTTCCAGTCATATCCAAAAAAATTTTTGATCACAATTGTCCAATTAACCAGCATTGTTAATCAGTGAAGTCATTTCAAAATATTACACAACACATACTTTTTTCAGGCATTATAATAGAAAACTTTAACACTTCCTATTACCTTGTCAACTTGTTTCTGTCTTAAACCATCTGTGCTACCTCCCATGATAGAATAAACACTGATACGCCCATCAAACGAAGCAGCTGATAAGACAGCAGGATTTCGGGGACACCACTGAATATCGAAGCACCACTGTGTGTTGGTGGGAAGTTCATATAACACCTAGGCCAACAAAAAACAAACAACAAAACTCAGAAAATGGTATGGCCACTTTGTAACCAAAACACCTGAATTAATGTGGTCAACAAGTATAGTTAAATTGAATATTTTTTTGTAGAAAGTATCTTTAGCCAGGAAAAAGAATACTAAGATTTTTTAAAGTGCAAGAATGATCCATTACGATGACCTATTCTGATTAACAGGAATGCAGCTTAAAATTTCAATCAGATTTGAATAAACGCATTTTAAAAACTGAGGCTTTTCTGTGTTCAAAATAATGGATGCATTTGAAAGACCAGCACACTCTATTAGAGTCAACTTTTTTTTTTCTTTTTTGAGACAGGGTCTCGCTCTGTCGCCCAGGCTGGAGTGCAATGGCAGCAGCCTCAGCTCACTGCAACCTCCACCTCCTGGGCTCAAGCAACTATTCTGCCTCAGCCTCCCAAGCAGCTGGGATTACAGGCGCCCATCATCATGCCCGGCTAATTTTTGCATTTTTAATAGAGATGGCGTTTCACCACGTTGGCCAGGCTTGCCTTGAACTGCTGACCTCAAGTGATCCGCCCGCCTTGGCCTCCCAAAGTGCTGGGATTACAGGCGTGAGCCACCGCACCCGGCCTAGGGCCAACTTTTTAAACTCTAAAAGATTAGTGATGTCCTGTCCAATTGTTTTTGTCTGGTAAGACCCAAACAACAACCATATTTAGGTTACTTGAGGATCAAATTTTAAAATCAATCTTGAGAAGGAAGAATTCACTAAGAAATCTGACTTTTAATCACGAGAGAAAACATGTACTATACACAACCTTCCTATCACTGCAGAATCCTAACAGAATTCGGCATTAACAGCTTCCTTTAGAAAGAAAATGACAGAGAAAGAACTATAGAAAATGACCTACATGAGGCTGGGCATGGTGGTTCACGCCTATAATCCTAGCACTTTGGTAGGCTGAGGTGGGCAGAATGCTTGAGCCCAGGAGTTCAAGACCAGCATGGGGAACATGGCAAAACCCCATCTCTACAAAAAAATACAAAATATTGGCCAGGCACGGTGCTGCACGCCTGTAGTCCCTGTTAGCTGGGAGGCTGAGGTGGGAGGACTGATGGAGCCCAAGAGGTCAAGGTTTCAGTGACCCGTCATGGTGCCACTGCATTCCAGCTTGGGAGACACAGCAAGACCCTGACAAAAAAATAATTAATAGTACTAAAAAAAATAAATAAATAAATAGAAAATGGCTTATATGAAACCTTCACAATGTAATCCTTGTTGTGAACTCAAAGTTAGTATGGTGGTTAACTGCTACTCACAGAAGCAACATCTTAGGACTTTATGATAAGTCAAATGAACTTAACTCTGGCTTCATGTGACCTTCTTTTTCCTTTTTCTTTTTTTTATTTTTGAGACAGGGTCTCACACTGATGACTAGGCTGGAGTGCAGTGGCGCAATCACAGCTCATTGGAGTCTTGACCTCCTGGGCTCAAGCGATCCTCCTATGTCAGCCTCCCGAGTGGCTAGGACTACAGAACACGCCACCACACCCAGCTAATTTTTGTATTTGTTGTGGAGATGGGGTTTCACCAGCCTGCCTTGCCTCCCAAAGTGCTGAGATTACAGGTCTGAGCCACCACAAGTGGCCCACGTGACATTTAAAATGTTTCATTTTATTAAAAAATAGAATTAATTGAAAAGGTATTTAGCCTGCTCACGTCTTTGGTATTTATTTTGTTTGATAAGATGTGTGGTTTGATAAAACTTAGATGATTTATCTATCCTTTATTTGCATTTGAACAAATTCCAATTTTTATTTATTTATTTATTTTTTGAGATGGAATCTCACTCTGTCACCCAGGCTGGAGTGCAGTGGTGCGATCTGGGCTCACTGCAAGCTCCGCCTCCCAGGTTCATCCCATTCTCCTGCCTCAGCCTCCCTAGTAGCTGGGACTACAGGCGCCCGCCACCACGTCCAGCTAATTTTTTTGTATTTTTTTTTTTTTTCAGTAGAGACAGGGTTTCATCGTGTTAGCCAGGATGGTCTCGATCTCCTGACCTCGTGCTCTGCCCGCCTCAGCCTCCCAAAGTGCTGGGATTACAGGCCTGAGCCACTGCACCCGGCCAACAAAATCCAATTTTTTAGTTGTAGCATGTACTAAAAGTCTCTTCCTTCAAAGTCCAAGCACACACAACTAATCACAGGCAAAAATTCATCTAATTAAATTATATTACAGAGAAAATGATAACAGAATAGTAAGTTCCATGAATTTTGAATTTACTTGGCAAGGCACAGTGTAAAATTAAGATTTTTGTTATCTGTCCTACAAATGATATGCGGTAAAATTTATTAATTTTTTTTCTCTTGTCTCCCCTAATGTTAATGATTCTATATTGTTACATCCACAACTCTTAAACCAGAAACCAAATAACTAAAGGGCTTGTTTTAATTTTAACAATATAGATGAAAACTTATCGAAGACACTCTTTATTTTTATTAGCATTCCATCAAACTACATAAGCACTAGCAATCATCTACCTTCACATAAAAAAGGTAAAAATATAAAAGCTATAATTTATATTCTTGCTTTATCATTCAGAAGAGAGATTGGAAAACTGTATCTACTGATTTCCAGAAGTGAAAGAGGATCCTCAGGAACGGTAAAGCAGGCAAAAGATGCAAACCTTGAACAATCCTACATCGAAGATACTGATTCCCATAAACCACATGTGAAATAAATCAAAGTATTTCTGAGTCTAGGTAATAAACACATTATTGGAAATGAGGAGGGGATGGTTACTAGTTTAAAATATACTATTTGAATTACTGATTTTTCTGGTTAAAAAGCTGAGTTTAGATTATGTTCCTGATAAAATTGCTGCCAAATAAACACTGCACACACACGTCCACATACTCTTCACATAGTAATCCACTAAAGAATCCACACAGAAAATTTCTTATGTAGCCAGAAGTAACATACTATAAGGGCTACAAGGTTGAGACACATTTCCTGCCCATACCTCTCCTGTGTTTGGATTGGAGCAGAGAATCTTAGCATCTTTTCCACAGCTCAGTAACAATTCAGGATCTGCCATGCTCCAAGCAATTGCCAAAATCCCCCTATAAAAAACATAAAGGAACAAGGAAATTTTTAATCTTGAGAAAACCAAATCTCAACTATTTCTGCCTAGGTTTTGTAGATTCACACATTGTTAACAGAAATACAATTAAATGCAAGAGTTTCAGCGCCGGGCGCATTGGCTCACACCTGTAATGCCAACTACTCAGGAGGCTGAGGTAGGAGAATCACTTGAACCTGGGAGGTGGAGGCTGCAGTGAGCTGAGATTGAGCCACTGCACTTCAGCCTGGGCAACAGAGTGAGTGAGACTCTATCTCAACATAAAATAAAAAAAGAAAAACAAAAAAAGAAATAAAAATAAAATAAATGCAATATTTTCAGAAGCAACTTAGTAACGTATATGCTATCTGATCATTACAAATACATGGATGTTCAATGTAGTGCAGTGTATGACAGCAAAAAAGTGAAAACAAATGCCCAACAGACTATTTCACAATAAATTACAGACCACCCTTCCATGAGAAAATATGTAGATAAAAATTATTCTATACACTTTGGGAGGCCAAGGCAGGAGGATTATTTGAGGCCACGAGTTCAAGACCAACCTGGGCAATATAACGACACTCTGTCTCTACCAAAAAATTTGAAAATCAGCCAGTTATGGTGGCGTGTGCCTGTAGTTCCAGGCATACTCATGAAGCTGAGGCAGGAGGATTACTTGAGCCCAGAGGCTCATGGCTGCAGTGAGCTATGGTGGCTCTATCCTGGGCAAATCAGCAAGACCCCATCTCAAAATATATACGTATCATTTTGTGGAAATCAACTTCTTACCATTATATGGTATTCATGATTAACGAAAAAAGTTATCTAACTATATGCACAAATTATCCTATTTGTATAAAAATTATATTGGGATTATACATGCATACACACACACACACACACACACACACAAGTAACGTAGGTACAGTAAAATGTTTTACCTATGGATGGGCATGAAATCTAACTGCAGTAAGTCGTTACTTAATTTAGGAACTGTGACTTTAAGCAAAACAATGGATAACAAAACCAATTTTACCATAGACTAACTGATAACTGACATAAACATTAAGTTCCTACGGTGGCCCATGCCTGTATTCCCAGCACTTTGGGAGGCAAAGGTGGGCAGATCACTTGAGGTCAGAAGTTTGAGACCAGCCTGGCCAACATGGTAAAACCCCATCTCTACTAAAACTATGAAAATTAGCTGGGCGTGGTGGCGCATGCATGTAATCCCAGCTATAAAATTTTTATAAAACTATAAAAATTTCCTGGCATGGTGGCTTGCGCCTGTAATCCCAGCTACTCAGGAGGCTGAGGCAGGAGAATCGTTTGAACCTGGGAGGCAGAGGTTGCAGTGAGCCAAGATCTTGCCACTGCACTCCAGCCTAAGTGACAGAGCAAAACTCCATCTAAAAAAAAAAGTTCCTGTGTCCTATGGTGTATTTCTGGTCACGAAAACATCACCGACATGTTCAGAAAATAAACAAATCAAGTTCTTTGTAACAGCAGCACGATACCTGGCATGGTTTTCCAGGACACGAAGTGGAGAGGAAGCAAATCGAAGATCCCACATCTGGATCACTGGTAACCGGTCATCCTCGGAGGCAAGGACCATCTGAGTAGCAACATCAGGATGCCATGCCAACCCAGAACAATGCATCTGAAGATAGTTAAGGTTCACATTTTATGAATCAAATTACTTTATGAAAAGCCAAACTACAACGAGAAATATACCTTTATTGAAACAAATAGTGAAAAACATCAGCTGTGGCTTATTTTATTTATGATCTATTTATTGTCAGCCAGGCTGGAGTGCAGTAGCGCCATCTCAGCTCACTGCAACCTCCACCTCCCCCAGGTTCAAGTGATCCTCCTGCCTCAGCCTCCTGAGTAGCTGGGATTACAGGCGCAAGCCACCATGCCAGCAAACTTTTGTATTTTTAGTAGATATGAGGTTTTACCATGTTGGCCAGGCTGGTCTTGAACTCCTGACCTCAAATGATCCACCCACCTCGGCCTCCTAAAGTGCTGGTATTACAGGCATGAGCCACCGCGCCTGGCCTTAGTTTATTTTAAACAACAAAACAAAAACAAATGTAAAACTACTAAATTTTATTGAACAGTCTTAAACAGTAGTCTTAAAAGTAAGATATTTGAATATTTTCTCAATTCATGCAGCTATTTGATACACACAAAACCATTCTGAGTCAGAATAACTGTATACCAAAAATGAGTTTTACTATCAAAACTATATAAGTTTAGAGAAAACATTTCATTGTATTTATTTATTTTTTTGAGATGGAGTCTCGCTCTGTCACCCAGGCTGGAGTGCAGTGTGGCACGATCTCAGCTCACTGCCACCTCCGCCTCCCAGGTTCAAGCGATTCTCCCGCTTCAGCTTCCCAATAGCTGGGAGTACAGGCACACACCACCATGCCTGGCTAATTTTTTGTATTTTAGTAGAGAAGGGGTTTCACCATGTTGCCCAGGATGGTCTTGAACTACTGAGCTCAGGCAATTCGCCCACCTCGGCCTCCCAAAGTGTTAGGATTGAGCTACTGCGCCCGGCCAGTAGAGAAAACATTTTATGCACATTTAAAATACTTTCAGAAAAACGAAAAACAAAAAACAGATAAAAGATTAACACATACAGGCTGGGCGTGGTGGCTCACTCCTGTAATCCCAGCACTTTGGGAGGCCAAGGCGGGTGGATCATGAGGTCAGGAGTTTGAGACCAGTCTGGCCAACATGGTAAAACCCATCTCTACTAAAAATACAAAAATTCGCCAGGTATGGTGGCGGACGCCTGTAATCCCAGCTACTTAGGAGGCTGAGGCAGGAGAATTGCCTGAACCCAGGAGGCGGAGGTTGCAGTGCCATGATTGCGCCCCTACACTCCAGACTGGGTGACAGAGTGAGAGTCCCTCTCAAAAAAAAAAAAACCCTTAAAAAAATTAACACACACACAAGACACAAAAAAACCCCATACTTTTCCTCTATTTTATCAGAAAAATCAAGGCAAAATATCTGAAGCAAAAACTACCATTTAAATTTTCATATGGAATAAATTAACATTATTAGGAACTATCTGCAAGTTCAAATTCTATTAAATATTCCACAAAATGACTAAAATGCTTCTGGTATGGTTTATTCCATTGAAACTTCTGTTTTAAAACTCCTGATTCACTTGAAAACAATACTCTGAAGAAGTGTTCTCCCAAATAGTTTTTTGTTGTTATTGTTGTTTTTAAACTACATATGTATGCCTGACTTTTGGCAAACTTATTTTAGAAAATGTCAAACTATCCAATGTACTCATAAACAAACAAACAAAAAAAGCTCCAAATTATATCTAAATTATTTTATGGCATCTAATGACATAAAAAAATAAAGATACCTAAAAGGTTCAGAATTTAATGTGCTCTATGGGTAAGTGCCGAAAATATATTAGCTCATTTTAGCAGTACCTAATCAGAGGAAGAGATGAGGCCAAGAAGTCAAATATTACAAGTTCACAGTGATGAAGCTTCCAGCAGGAAAAATTTTTACATTCTAAGAAAAGTTAAAGATGAATTAAAAAGTTGCTGCAATGGCCGGGCACAGAAGCTCATGCCTGTAATCCCAGCACTTTGGGAGGCCGAGGCAGGCAGATCACGAGGTCAGGAGTTTGAGACCAGCCAGACCAACATGGTGAAACCCCATCTCTACCAAAAATACAAAAATTAGCCGGGCTTGATGGTGCATGCCTGTAATCTCAGCTACTCGGAAGGCTGGGGCAGGAGAAGTGCTTGAACCCAGGAGGCAGAGGTTGCAGTGAGCCGAGATCACGCCACTGTACTCCAGCCTGGGCGACAAAGCGAGACTCCGTCTCAAGAAAAAAAAAAAAAAAGTTGCTGCAATGTTTTAAAACAGCTAGCAAAGCAAAACCACCAGTATATCATGGAATAAGTTCCTTGATTAACCAATCTCTCTTCATCATTAATAATATCCAACATATTTATTGGGAATTTTATGATTTTCCCTTAGAGGAAAAAAAACAAAACATTCCTTCTAACATGACTGATTAATAAAAAAACAGGATTTGACTTCACAGAAATTTGATTTGTTGTCAACTCTGACAAACAATATAGGAATACCTACAGCAGAAATACAACATGTTCATCACAAGTCAATCACATACTTACTCTGTTACTATGGTCACTGACTTTGATGATTGGCTCATTTTTTCTAAGATCCCATACAGTGGCCCGGCCACTGGGACTGGCTGATGCTAAAATATGCTGAACTTGTCTGTTCCATGCAATGCAGCTGATATCTTCTGGCGGCTACAAGGAAGAAACAGTTAATAAAAACTGCTTGTTTCTCTATTATAATCAAATTTAACTGTAAAATTGGATCCTTCATTTTGAAAAGTGTATTACTTAAAAATCTGATCCATTTATGCCACAAATTTGCTTTATAGTCCTACATCTCTACATTCTCAACACATAAAATTATATGACTTAAAATGCAGGTACATACCACTTCAAGTGTATTATCTTGTTTCATAATATCTCATTCAACAAGAATTTTATTGAATTTCTGCTATAAACCAAGTACTGTTTCTTTACTTTGCAACTGCTGCAAGGTAGATTATGGACCACAAAGTAGATGTTGGTGACTATGACAGAAAACTAGGCAGGGCAAAATTACAGCCTAGACCATTAGCAAAATACCTTTATAAATGGTAGTGCATATGCTGTCATTATGCTACCTCTCAGATTGCCAAAATGTTAGAGCCAGTTACAATGGCTACTCAAGTTGGATAGCCTATACAACATAAAGAAACTCAGGGAAGAACAGGAGAAGACTGTTGTTACCAAACTTAATAGAAATACACAAGCAAAGGGCTTGAGGTATTTATTTTAAACCTTGTCTTCCATGGTCTTGTCTAAGTGTGTTTTAAGAAGGTTGGTTGTTGCCAAAACACAGAGCAACTATCACACAAAGAACAAAAATAATTATACTATATCTAAGACAATTATTAAGGATTTTTGTTCATTTTGTTTACTACTGTATGCCTAGTACAATGACCAGTGTCTACCAGGTGGTAGGTACTAAATAAATATTTACTCTTGATGGACTCACTGATACTT
The DNA here is from genome assembly GCF_000001405.40 of Homo sapiens. Classification (NCBI taxonomy): domain Eukaryota; kingdom Metazoa; phylum Chordata; class Mammalia; order Primates; family Hominidae; genus Homo; species Homo sapiens. The sequence continues at coordinate 82,875,562 of NC_000004.12, forward strand.
TGAAGAAACATATTTATTAATTACTGAAGAAAAATCAGTAATATCTAAACAATGATTTTAAACATATATGTTTTGTGTGAGAAGCCTTAAAAGTGAAATAAGTAGGTTTAGGAGAACTACTTTTGGCTTTTTTGATTACAATGATCAAAATCAATATAAAAATACCTGTGTTTTGGCTCCTGGTGTCATTGGGGTTGCAAAATTATTTAGATCCCATATGTAGATTTCAGATTCATTAGCACCAGAAGCTACCAGATTAGTCTGCAAGAAGAAACCATAACTAAATAGCACTTATGAATAATTAAGAAAATTCAGAATAACTCAGTTCAGAGCTAGAAAGATATTAGATGTAGCATACACAATTTTTCTATTTAATTTGAAAAGTGAAAAACATATGCATGAATTTCTAAATTATGCATAATTCTTTCAAAATTTAAAGTTTTCTAGAAAAACATAAAATTCTACTTAACAAAGACAAAAGATGTCTACTGAGAACAAATTAATTTTAATGCAAGATATTATTTTAAAAATTATATGGATAAATTCTTTTTTTTTTTTTTTTTTTTGAGATGGAGTTTTGCTCTTGTTGCCCAGGCTGGAGTGCAATGGTGCAATCTCAGCTCACCACAACTTCCGCCTCCCGGGTCCAAGTGATTCTCCTGCCTCAGCCTCCCGAGTAGCTAGGATTACAGGCATGCACCACCACTCCCGGCTAATTCTGTATTTTTAGTAGAGACGGGGTTTCTCCATGTTGGTCAGGCTGGTCTCAAACTCCTGACCTCAGGTGATCCACCTGCCTCGGCCTCCCAAAGTGCTGGGATTACAGGCGTGAGCCACCAAACCTGGCTGGATAAATTCTTAATCAGTCATGCAACCATGTGAGGATTACTGTTTGTATCTTTGCATCTCTGGAAGGAGATTTAATTATAAGATTAAAAAGGTCATCAATTATTGCTTTCAGAAAAAGCTGAATCCTAAAACTGTGGCATCTTTCTCAGGATACCTCAAAGCCAGCTTCCAGAGCTGAATCAATACAGCACTAGTAAAATCTCTTGTCATAACTCTTCACATATTTCTAGTTCATATACACTCAATCTTATTCCAGGTGGCAATATTTCTAGGTTTTCTCTGGTACATACCTTAAGGGTCAAAAAGAACCTGAAATTGTAATATAAAGTACAGGAAGATAATGGGCTTCATATACTGACCTTCATCCACTACTATTTACTCTTACAAATTATTCTCTATCAGTTGGCATATAACTAAAAAAAGGGAGACATTCTATGGTAGTAGCTACCTATAACACAAAATACTTTATTAAAAATCATCAGCTGTTCAATACAATTAACAAAGGAGTTAGCTAAAGAGCAGATACCACAAACTATAGAAACGAAGGCTGGGCACAGTGGCTCATGCCTGTAGTCACAGCACTTTGGGAGGCTGAGGCAGACAGACCACTTGAGCCCAGGAGTTTGGGACCAGCTTGACCAACACGAAAAAACCCTGTCTCTACAAAAATTAGCCAGGTGTTGTGGCTCATGCCTGTAGTCCCAGCTACTCAGGTGGCTGAGACAGAAGACTTGCTTGAGCCCAGGAGGTCAAGACTGCAGTGAGTCATGAGCCACTGCAGTCCAGCCTGGCAGAGGGAGCAAGACGCTGTTTCAAAAAACAAAAAACAACAACAAAAAAGAAATAAACAAGTTGGGTTTCTGTATTGCTATACCCTAAGTATCTATTTATAATATAAGAAAAGGAACTATTTAAAATTTTCTTAATACTCATTTTTGGTTGTTATAATCTAGTATCCTATTAACTCAAGGTCTTTTTTTTTTTTCCAGACAGGGTCTCTATGTGTCACCCAGGTTGCAGTGCAGTGGTGTGATCATAGCTCACTGCAGCGTAGACCTCCCAGGCTAAAGCCATCAACCTACCTCAGCCTCCCGTGTAGCTGAGACTACAGGCGTGTGCCACCATGTTCTGCTAATTGTTTGCATTTTTTGTAATGACAGGGTTTCACCATCCTGTTCAGGCTAAGATCGTTATTAAGCTGTGCATTTATATAATTAACAACCAGAAATGTTTATGAAGGCAACAGTACAAAGAATCTTAATTGACTATTTGTTAAATCTGCATTACATTTCTTTTTTCTTTTTTTGAGTTTTGCTCGTTGCCCAGGCTGGAGTGCAATGGCACGATCTCAACTCACTGCGATCTCCGCCTCCCGGGTTCAAGCGATTCTCCTGCCTCAGACTCCCGAATAGCTGGGATTACAGGTGCCTGCCACCATGCCCGGCTAATTTTTGTATTTTTAGTAGAGACGGGGTTTCACCACGTTGGCCAGGCTGGTCTCGAACTCCTGACCTCATGATCTGTCTGCCTCGGCCTCTCAAAGTGCTGGGATTACACAGGTGTGAGCCACATGCCCAGCCATTACATTTAATTTCTAATTATTTCATAGAGTATTAATCTCTGTCATAAACATAAAATTTCTCAATTAATAAAACAGTGAATTAACCTGGACATCACAGCACCAGCCTAATGCTGACCTAGCATGAACTTTTAAAAGGCAAGGTTTCCAACCTATAGGGATCTTAATGTTTATAAAATGTCTAATCAAATGGCGTGACATCTTCAGACTTAAACCTATTAGCCAGCTGGGCACAGTGGCTCACGTCTGTAATCCCAGCACTTTGGGAGGCCGAGGCGGGCGGATCACAAGGTCAAGAGATCGAGACCATTCTGGCCAACATGGTGAAACCCCATCTCTACTAAAAGTACAAAAATTAGCTGGGCGTGGTGGCAGGCGCCTGTAATCCCAGCTACTCGGGAGGCTGAGGCAGGAGAATCACTTGAACCCAGGAGGCAGAGGTTGCAGTGAGCCAAGATCATGCCACTGCACTCCAGCCTGGTGACAGAGCGAGACTCCGTCTCAAAAAAACAAAAACAAAAACAAAAACAAAAACCTATCAGCCGGATCCTTTTCATGGAGGTAGTATTTTTAACCCTGATCTCAACTCTGAACCCACCATTCTTTAAACAAACACTCGTCAACCTGTATAGCCACAGTTTTTTAACTTTCAATTCCAAAACTGAGGCATAGTAGATTCATATACTGATTTCAAATGAGCAGCACATAGTCTAAGAATTATGAAATGTTAAAGTCTTAACCTGGAAAATGTTCACATCCAAGGCTCTCACTGGGCCAGTATGCTTGTCATTCTGGGCAATCACAACTTCCTTGTCTCCAGCTATAATTTTAGAAGGATCATAGAGAATAATATTTCCATTTTCACCACCTGCAATCAGAACTCCAGAGACATCTCCTTTGGAATCCATTTTATAAGGCCCCCAAATCAACTTGTGGTACCTACAGGAGAAAATGAATAAAATCATTCATTCTTAAAGTCAAATAAATGTAGACAAAAAATTGAAATTATACACTTAATTTTTAATGTTTTCATAAACAATCCAAATATATTACTTTCCCACCACTCCTGGTAACTATGTATGACTTTGGTGTAATAGTATTTCATTTTTTATTTATACTCATATTTGCATATGTGATTTTGTAATCCTTAAAGAGTAAAAACTCTTGTAAGGTAGTGTAACAAAATATACTTGAGTTGTGTGTCAAAAAATATGAGCTTAAGAATGATTTTACCATTTAGAAACTGTGAGACCCTAAGTTACTTAATCTTCTTAAATTGCCTCTGGTTCATTGTAAAATAGAGCTAATCAATCACTTCCCTCGAAAGGTAAAAACACTCTTTATTTGACTATAGAAGGGTCTCATGCTTTGACCTTTGTCTGAAAAAAAAAAAAAGGGGGGGTCACTAACAAGTGGTCTGTTAAATAGTAAAGGTGTTAAAGGAGTCATGTGAAATTTTCTAAGAAAAAGAATGTATTCTAATGGTAGAAAAATGACATCAAGATTATAACAAGTACCCCTACTATTAGAGAATAAAATATATGGTCCAGAATGGAGATGAAATATGAAGGCAGAAAGGTATACGATGATACAGATGGTAGTAAGCAGAAAAACTACTAGACAAAAGGTATCTGGGGTTCCCATCCCACTGTGACAGCTCTGAAGAATATGAGCGGTCCCATGAAACTGCATGATTTGAGCTATATTCTGTCAGCTAAAGAGCAATCTCTTTAAACCCTGCTAATATATTGAGGCAATAAAGCTTATTTTATTACTGAAATGAAGACCTCCTTTCTCTGCATTACAATAGGGCATAAGTACTTGAAAGTATGATCCAAATACCTAGTTACCTAGTGTATTAGAAATCGTGTCAACAAAACTGTGAGATATATTTCTAAATATCGTAACAGAAGAAAATAAAAATAAGCTACCATTCAGAGATAATCACTATTAATACTTACGATGACTACTCCTTTTCTAGTCACATCTACCTTTTTGTAAACAGGCACAATAAAGGAGATAGAAAAAAGAACTCTATACAAAATTAGCCAGGCATGGTGGCACATGCCTGTAATCCCAGCTACTCGGGAGGCTGAGGCAGGAGAATTGCTAGAACCTAGGAGGCAGAGGTTGTGGTGAGCCGAGATTGCGCCATTGCACTCCAGCCTGGGCAACAAGAGTGAAACTCCATCTCAAAAAAAAAACAAAAACAAAAAAAACCACACACACACCAAAAAAACAGAAAAAAATGCTAGAAACTACAGCCTCTCCTTCCTACCTTACATGTAACAGCAATAAAAAAGCCAACAGAACATACTGGCCAAGCGTGATTCCTCATGCCTATAATCTCAGCACTTTGGGAGGCTAAGGTGGGTGGATTGCTTGAGGTCAAGAGTTCAAAACCAGCCTGGCCAACATGGCAAAACCCTGTCGCTACTAAAGACACAAAATTAGCTGGGCAAGGTGGTGTGCACCTGTAATCCCAGCTACTCGGGAGGCTGAGGCACAAGAATTGCTTGAGCCTGGAAGGTGGAGGTTGCAGTGAGCCGAGATCGTGCCACTGCACTCCAGCCTGAGCTATGAAGTAAGATTCTGTCTCAAAAAAAAAAAAGAAAAAAAAAAGTCAATAGAACACATAAACACTACTTTTACTTCCATAAAAATTCACTCACATGCTTTTTCACAAAATATTTCATGTTCTTGATGGTATTCCTTGTAGTTTCTAATAATGGCATAATTATAGACAAATTAGGAATCAAGAACAATATATAATTAAATAATCACATGAATTTAAAGCTGAACCTCATACCTGTGAGAAGAGGAGAATGTGGCACAAGATTTCATATCCAAGGATGGATCAGAGAGGTCTAATTCAAATATCTCAAGGGAAGCATTCGTACTAAATGTTGCATCCAATTGCTGAGCAGATGTTCCTATAGAAAATATATTTATGGTAACTATACACACAAAAATAAAAGATCAGAGAAACCATACAAAACAGAAGTTAAAAGCATGTTTTCCATTCTCTTGCTCATGAATGCTGCACATATGCCATTGAGCAGATGCTTAAATTACTATAGCAATGAGATTCTGGCACAGGGCTAGGAGAGGATGTTTATAAGAGTGGGTAGTGTAAATAATTTTTTAAGCCTGTATATATTTAAAAATCTCTGTAAAAATGGTCCCGTGATGGGGGCTGGGCACGGTGGCTCATGCCTGTAATCCCAGCACTTTGGGAGGCCGAGATGGGTGGATCATGAGGTCAGGAGATCAAGACCATCCTGGCTAACATGGTGAAATCCCATCTCTACTAAAAATACAAAAAATTAGCCAGGCATGGTGGTGGACGCCTGTAGTCCCAGCTACTTGGGAGGCTGAGGCAGGAGAATGGAAGGAACCAGGGAGGTGGAGCTTGCAGTGAGCAGAGATCACGCCACTGCATTCCAGGCTGGGCGAAAGAGCAAGACTCCATCTCAAAAAAAAAAAAGTCCCGTGATTTACTATATCTGCTTATAGACATATATGATATAACTATTTCTTTTTATATAAAAATGCTAACATCAAAATTGCTCTTCATTCATTCAAACTGATATTAACTGTTTTTTTTACATGCCATCTATTGTGCTTAATACTGGAGGAATAAAGATAAAATACAATTCCTGTGAAGGAAAATATTTTAGATGTAACACATCATGATCAAAATGCTATGGGAACACAGAGGAAGAACACTAAACTTGGCTGATAGAATGTCAGTAACTTGCCAGGGAGAGAGAGGCTTTCTAGAGAAGATAAAGCTTAAACTGAATAAGCTAGGTGCAGAAGAGAAGAAATTAGGTAACTCATACTATCTTCTCTCCTTTGAACTTACCTGTTGCTAGGTAAATGGGGTGATTCTGGGCAGGGCTCCATGCCTGCATGGCTGTACGATCTACTTCCTTTAACTTCATCCTGCTAAAGGGAATATTTTATACAGAAACAGCCTTGAATGACTTGAATGTCTAACACAGAACACAGATATTTTAAATAGAAACATACTGAACAAACCACTACAACATTAGTAATGCCCAACTGCAAATAAATCAAATCGGTTTAGGTGTCATTTGTTGGATATATTCATTAGAAAGAAGACAAACTTGAGGCCGGGTGGCTCATGCCTGTAATCCCAGCACTTTGGGAGGCCAAGGCGGGCGGATCACGAGGTCAGGAGATTGAGACCATCCTGGCTAACATGGTGAGACCCCATCTCTACTAAAAATACAAAAAATTAGCCGGGCGTGGTGGCGGGCACCTGTAGTCCCAGCTACTCAGGAGGCTGAGGCAGGAGAATGGCATGACCCGGAAGACAGAGCTTGCAGTGAGTTGAGATTGCACCACTGCATGCCAACCTGGGCGAGAGAGCAAGACTCTATCTCAAAAAAAAAAAAAAAAAAAAAAAAAAAAAAAGACAAACTTGATAAACCATTTTGAGACAAATACTGGGCTATTCTGTTTACAGATTATAGTTCTTCAGTTGAATCAGTCTAGAAAAATAGCCCACAAAAATAATAAGGTAGTACCTGAAGAATTAACTTTGCTACACATGTGTTTATCCAACTAGGATGGATGACAAAACATTACGGGTAAGAGCAGCCAAAAAATAAATAAGGTGCAACTTCCTGGAGTAGGATTACTCAATGATAAGAGCAGTTTAAAAAATTAATTCAAAGTTACAACATATTAGAGAGAATATAGTAAGCCCACAGATTTTAAAGATAAAGTAGAAATTATTAGAAAACTGGTCACTTCAAGGTATAATCCCATATACCACTTGTTTACGTATTTTCTGTCATTAAAGTTACTTTGATGGAGTCAGGCATGGTGGCTCATGCTTGCAATCGCAGCACTTTGGGAGGACGAGGCAGTTGGATCACTTGAGGCCAGGAGTTCGAGACCAGCCTCGCCAACATGGCAAAACCCCGTCTCTATTAAAAATACAAGAAAATTAGCCAGGTGTGGTGGTGCATGCCTGTAATCCCAGCTATTTGGGAGGCTGAAGCAGAAGAATCACTTGAACCCAGGTGGTGAAGGTTACATTGAGCCGAGATCATGCCACTGCACTCCAGCCTGGGCAACAGAGCGAGACTCGGTCTCAAAAAAAAAGTTACTTTGATGGAAAAATTACAACGGTATAGTATTATGTACTTTTTAAAGATCTTTGTTATTTTTACATAAATATATTGAAATGGCATAGTACTGCACTATAAGATGTACCATAATTACCTAGTCTAATACCAACAAACACCTAAGCTGTTTTTAGCTATTTTTACAAAAAAGTGCTGAAATAAATGGTCATCTGCACGTTATTTCATTAAAAAGGGACAGCTATAAATTTCCAGAAGTAAAATTGCTAAGTTAAAAGGTTAATGCAATTTTAATTTTGATGAATATTACCAAGTTGTCCTCTATGGCAATTGTGCCTTTTCATACCACCAACAGTAATATACGATTACTTATTGCCCTACAGCCTTATCAGAGCATACTGTCACACTTTTAGATCATACCAACACTAAAAAATGAAAGGCCAGGTGCAGTGGCTCAGGCCTGTAAGCCCAGCACTTTAGGAGCCGAAGCAAGTGGATTGCTTGAGCCCAGGAGTTCAAGATCAGCTTGGACAACATGGTGAAATCCCATCTCTAGAAAAAATACAAAAATTAGCTGGGCATGGTGGTGCACGCCTGTAGTCCCAGCTACTCGGGAGGTTGAGGAGGAAGGATTGTTTGAGCCCGGGAAGTTGAGGCTGCAGTGAGCCGTGATTGCGCCACTGCAATCCAGCCTGGGCGACAGAGTGAGACCATGACTCAAAAAAAAAAAAGAGAAAAATAAAAATGTTAGCTCTGTATAGTAATACTATAAATGATGTATAACATCTTTTTTTTGTATGACTATGGGTAAACATATTTCCTTTTCTGTCATCTCTTCTGTCTAGTCATGTATTATTTGACCATTTTTCTTTTCTATTCTTTTTTTTTTTTTTTTGGAGATGGAGTTTCGTTCTGTCACCCAGGCTGGAGCACAGTGGGGCGATCTCGGCTCACTGCAACGTCTGCCTCCGGGTTCAAGCGATTCTGGTGTCTCAGCCTCCCAAGTAACTGGGATTACAGGCACACACCACCACATCAGGCTAATTTTTTTGTATTTTTAGTAGAGACGGGGTTTCACCATGTTGGCCAGGCTGGCCTCGAACTCCTGACCTCAGGTGATCCACCTTCCTCAGCCTCCCAAAGTGCTGGGATTACAGGGGTGAGCCACTGCGCCCGGCCATCATTCGACAATTTTTCTATTAAGTTGATAGACTATCTTTTGACTTTGCTTTTTTCAAAAAAAAAATTTCTTTTCACCTTTCATAGGATTTTGATTAAAAATAAAAAAAGCTATATGCTTTATCTTTTAGAGTTTTACGTTCCTAGAAAAGTTGAGCCACAAAGTACAAAAAATTGCTACACATTTCCCAACCACATAACCTTTCTCACCACCAACATCGCACATCATAAAGGTCTATTTGTTTCGATCCATAAACTAACATGAACACATCATTATCACTGAAACTCCACAATTTATATGAGGGCTCACTCTAGGTGTTGTATATTCTATGGGTTTTGACAAATGTATAACAACATGTATCTGTCATTATAGTATCACACAGAGTAGTTCCCTTGTCCTAAAATCCCCTATGCCTATAATTCCTCCTTTCCTTTCAATAGAGCCTATATAGTGAATTTTTGTGAATTGTTCTTGGGACCTAGAAAGAAGGGGTGCTCTCTGTTTTCAGGGCCTAGAGCTCAATATATATTAACTAAGTCCTCTTTATTGATTTGTTTAGATCTCCTATATCCTTACTTTTTTGTCCACTTGATCTGCCTTGGACCGAAACAGTGAATTAAGTCTCTTACTGCTAATATATTTATGTCAATTTCTCATGGTATCTCCTGAAACTTTTGCTTTATGAAAATTACTTTGTTATTTAATAGTTATTTGGTGCATATCCATAATGTTCAAATTCACTGTCAAATATACACTTTAGCTTTATGAATATCCTTCTTTGTCTCAAATAATGACTTTTGGTCTGAATTCCACCTCTTGTTTGCCTTTACATGTATACTTTTGCCCTTCAGAACTACTTTGTCATCATTACAAACAAAATAACAAACAAAAAACCAACAGATTTTACTGGTGATCCAATTTGAAAATCTTTTCACAGTAGGTTAGCTAAGGACATTTAAAATGTATTGACATGACAGACATGGTTGGTCTTAGTTTTACCATATTTTACTTTGGTTTAATATCTTTGGGTAATAATTTTTAAAAAGTCTTTCATTGTCTGTTTTCTTTTTTGTGCAATTACCATTTTTCTGATAATTAGGATGATGTATATTTTCATTATAATATGTGTTTCTGATTCTATCTTTTTAACTGTAATTTTAAATATTTTACTTAATACCATTAATCCTCTATTTCTTTACACAGAAACTATTAACTCCCTACTATGAGCACTTATGAAATTAGCTTGTATAATCTTACTGCCCATCCACACAACATGGTTATAGTCAATAGTATTATCTTTCTCAGTGTTTACCTTTGAACTCCTTATACTTCTACTAACTGATCTGTCAGCTTTAAATGATGTCCTTTGACTCATAGCCATTACAGATGTGGCAATTCACAAACTTATTCTACCTCCAATTTCTTTCCTCTTCTCTTTTTATTAGTTGTATAATCAATCCCTTACATTATTGGACATTTAACATTTACATTTTATTCTTTCTTCCTCATTCTCACTTTTGTTCCAGTCTCAGTCCTGCAGTTAAAATGCATACTCAATGCTCTCCAAGAGTATTTTTGCCAGTTTCCTTACTCAGCTCCAGAGTTTATCCTCTAACATTTTCCTTAAGATTGCCTTAAACATATGCTCCGAGTCTTGTACCTGCAAATTGTTTATATTTGAAGGAGATTTTATAGAGGAAAAAATTAAGACACAGAAAGTTAGACAATCTGTACATGCTAGCAAGGGGGCAAGGGGCAGAGCCAAGATTGGAACTTGCAAGTTTAGCTCCAGAGTTCTTTCTACTTCCAACAAGTTCAGGTATTCAATTTTTATATCATAGAGGAAATATTAACATTTAGAAGAAACAATAACAAAGCAACCAGCATGCATGATGAAACTGAAGAAATGCATTTTAGAAATTGTGTTAGGTTAGAGCAAAGTGAGATTAGGAGGCAGGATGTATCACATGGTTAAAAGCATGGTCTCTGGAGTTAATCCTCAATTTAACTACTGGCTCTGTTACTTATTAGCTATGATACTTTGGACACATTATTTAACCTCCCTGAGCCCCAGTTTCTACATTCGTAAAATAGGGAAAAGAGTGACAACCTCATGGGATGCTGTGAGGTTCCAATGAGATCATACGTTTTATAATAGGGAGCCAAAAAAAGTGCTCAGCACATGGGTTAGTGCTTTTGATAGGTTTGCTATTTTTAAAGATTACCACTATCATGAGATTAAACAAGAAAACTTCAGGGTTATTTGGGGGGAAAAATTCCAACTTTCTAAGATATAAAAAAGGCATTTATTTTCTTACATGAATCTCCTCTTCTTCCTCTTTGCCAACTGTCTCACCTGATCTTTAATAATAAATTCAAGTTCCAGCTCCTCCATGAAAACTGCCCTGATGATTCAATCCACATTGATCTAAATACTCCCCGACAAGTTTGTACTTGTCAATACTATGATTTAAGCATTTTATAATAACGTCATTATATTTTAATAAACATTTTGTAACATTCTACTAGCACATATTGTTTACATATTTTCCAATTACCTTTTTTTAACCAGTTGCCTTATGTGCTATCTTATCTCACCAACTAGACAAATAACGTCTTTTTTCAAAACTTTTACCCCTTTTTAGACTCAAAATTGCTTAGCACAGAAGGAGATATACAGAAAGTTTTGATTTATTTTAAATGTTTATATTTAGGGGAAAACAAGTAGACTAATGAGCTAGAGTGACCAGTTTCAGATAAAACATTTACTTTTAAATTCTTAACTCTTTAAAGGATCATTTACTTTTTAAAAAAGGAGAAAGTATGGTTAAGGGGGAAAAGGTTATAAGATGCCTTCAGAATAATTTCTAAAAGTGAAATCAAAATAGCTGTATTATTAAAAAAATGGAATACAATTATAGTATTTCTAAGACCTAAGTACAAGGACTACCTAATTCATTAATGCTTGGTTAATGTGTAACATTGACTGAAAAAGAAAGAGACACATTTATAAGAACATAAAATAGTTAAATGTGAATTCAAAGCATTTACTAAAGTTTATTTCTTAGCCTTAGTACTCAATGTTCTAAGAAAACATTGAGAAAAGAAAAGAAAAGAAAAGAAAAAAGAAAGGAAAAGAAAATTGTGTGGGCTTGTTCATACATGCCATCTCCAAGACAGTATCTATAGCACGGCAATTAAGAGCATGGGGTCTAGGGCAGACACCCTCAGTTTAAATTCCAGCTTCACTATGTCCACCTCTGACTTTAATCATGTCGCTTTATCCATGTATGTCCTGGCTCCTCTCTCATTAAAATAAGGAGAACAGTATCTATACTACAGGGTTGTTGTGAGAAATAAGTGGTATTACTCAGAGTGGTTAGAACAGTGCCTGGCATATATAAACAAATGCTCATAAATGACAGTTATTACAAACATCACTACTTAAAACGTCTACCACCACGAAACTTCAAAAATACATCTATTAGGCCGGGCGCGGTGGCTCACGCCTGTAATCCCAGCACTTTGGGAGGTCGAGGCGGGCGGATCACGAGGTCAGGAGATCGAGACCACGGTGAAACCCCGTCTCTACTAAAAATACAAAAAATTAGCCGGGCGCAGTGGCGGGCGCCTGTAGTCCCAGCTACTCGGGAGGCTGAGGCAGGAGAATGGCGTGAACCCGGGAGGCAGAGCTTGCAGTAAGCTGAGATCATGCGACTGCACTCCAGCCTGGGTGACAGAGCAAGACTCTGTCTCAAAACAAACAAACAAACAAACAAACAACAACAAAAAAAACATCTATTAGCCAGGCGCAGTGGCTCATGCCTGTAATCCCAGCACTTTGGGAGGCCGAGGTGGGCAGATCACTTGAGGCCGGAAGTTCGGGACCAGCCTGGCCAACATGGCGAAACCCCGTCTCCACTAAAAAATACAAAAACTAGCCGGGCGTGGTGGTGTGTACCTGTAATCCCAGCTACTCAGGAGGCCGAGGCAGAAGAATCGCTTGAACCCGGGAGGCAGAGGTTGCAGTAAGCCTGGGAGACAGAGCGAGACTCCGTCTCAAAAAAAAAAAAAAAAAAAAAAACACACAAAAAACATATATATATATACACACAGACACGGCCAGGCGCAGTGGCTCACACCTGTAATCCCAGCACTTTGGAAGGCCGAGGCGGGCGGATCACGAGGTCAAGACATCCAGATCATCCTGGCCAACCTGGTGAAACCCTGTCTCTACTAAAAATACAAAAATTAGCTGCGCGTGATGGCGCGGCCAGTAGTCCCCGCTACTCGGGAGACTGAGGGAGGAGAATCGCTTGAACCCAGGTGACGGAGTTTGCAGTGAGCCGAGATCGCGCCAATGTACTCCAGCCTGGGTGACAGAGCGAGGCTCTGCCTCAGAAAAAAATAAAAAAAAAAAAAAATTTCTTGAGGAAAATTTATATTCTAGACTAGAACTCTTTATTTTTCATGCAACTTTCTCTCAATAATTGCATTCAATTAGGTGGAAACTTTTTTATTTCTGCTCATTTTCAAAGTGTAAATTTTGTGAAGCAATACTAAAACCCACCAGCACTGTTCTTTGAAAAATACCAACCTTGCAATGCTATATACAGAGCTGATCCATAACTCAGAAAGCAAGTAAAAAGTTAAAGAGGTAATAGAATTGGAACTTGGATTCCCAAACCAGGTATACAATCCCTAGTTGGCACTGCTTTCAGTAAAAATCCATTTTCTGCAGGCAAAATATCTCAATATGGATAGAAACAATTGTTTAGAGGATTTATTTAGTATTTTCAATGTTCTAGGTTCATTTCACTCAACCCAAACCAAATCAAAGGAGAAAGCAACTGTGCACTGGTTACTGAACTAATTGGTGTCATACTAATCTTCAGTATAATAAAACTTTTTGAGCTGAAATTAACCTAATGACATTCCTAACAACAATGTAATCAATGTAAATCAATCTAGTAATATCCCCTTACAGGAGTTTTTAACTTGTAAACTTCATAATATTATGTATATAGAAAATCCTACATGTCACTTGAAAGCAGGAGCTTGAGTCCAGCCTGGGGAACGCAGTGAGACCCCCATCTCTATAAAAAATAAGATTAGTTGGGCGTGCGCCACGTGCATATTCCTAGCTACTTCTGAGGCTGAGGCGGGAGGATCTCTTGAGCCCAAAAGTTCAAGGTTATAGTGAGCTATGACTGCACCACTGCACTCCAATCTGGGCAACAAAGAGGGACCCTGTCTCAAAAAAAAAAAAAAAGTAAAAGAAAAAAAAAGAAAATCCTACATGTGTGTATATGTGCATTCTTCCAATGCTTTCATTAGATTCCCGTAAGACAGTGAAATCCCCCCAAAATTTTGAATCATTGCTCTTCACAGTTTACAAATTTATTTCTATTCCCATGTTATTGGTTTCAATAAAGAATTTGCTTATATAAAATTAAGCAATATCATTATAAATCCACCTCAAATTTCAAATTTCACAAATAACCGCGGACGTATTTAAGATAAAATCACTACAAAACTACAAAAACACTACGAGTTATCCAAAAGTTCTTAAGAGTCTACAAACCTCTCCCTGAGCTGTTAATTAAGGGATAGTGAGAAACAAGGAGCACAGAAGAACCACTAAAAAAGGAGAGTAGGCTGGGCGTGGTGGCTTATGCCTGTAACCCCAGCACTTCGGGAGGCCAACTCGGGCGGATCACTTGAGGTCAGGAGTGCCAGACCAGCCTGACCAACAGCGTGAAACCCCGTCTCTACTAAAAATACAAAAATTAGACAGGTGTGGTGGTGGGCGCCTGTAATCCCAGCTACTCAGGAGGCTGAGACGGAGGTTGCAGTGAGCTGAGATCGCGCCACTGCACTCCAGCCTGGGTGACAGAGCGAGACTCCGTCTCAAAAAAAAAAAAAAAAAAAAAAAAGGAGAGTAAGCTTTTGCCAACTCTTGAATAAACGGAGGTACAGAAAACGCAGGACGCTGTAACAAGAACACACCCTTATCGATTAAATACAGTTATAACTGCCCACAAAGACAACCAAATTTCAGTTTTCTATAGTTAGAAAAAATAAGTTAGGAGAAAGGATTTGTCACAGACTATCAGATCACTGCAACTTCAAATAGCCCTACGTAAAATTAATTCCTTAAGCGCAAGAAAAAATTTATAATGCCCACAAGTCCAGGCAATATTTTGGTTTATTTTACAACAGCCCCGTAATTTAACAACTTATTAGCAAAAACATGTAACACTTAATGAGACTGCCCTCAAAGTACAGGCTGCGCCTGGCTACCACCGTCCTTAAAATAATCCTAGTTAAATGACAGTAGACGTCAGTTCAAACCTATGAACCTTTAAATCTGGCAATAGTTCAAGTACAAAAAAAAATCCTAACCAAAGCCAAAGTAATCCTGAGATTTTTTTTCCTCTCCTCACCCTCGGGGACCGCACCTCTTTGTGCACAAGGGTCTGAAAGTCTCCTAATCTCAAACTCCAGTTACCAGCCCGGCTACTACTCCCCGGCAAGACACTGTCGCCAGCCTCGGGTGGCTTTTGCTCAGCAGTGGAGACGTCGGCGAATGCGGACGGGCGCGATCACTGGAGTCCAGATGCCAGGCGTTGTTCCGCCGGGCCCGAAACCAAGACTAGGGGCGCGCCGTCACCAGAGACCGGGCCTCAGGCTGGTGCGGGGCAGCGGAGACCCAGGCTGCGGTCCCAGTTTTGGCCTGGGCTCTACCTCAAAGCTTAAGGACCGGCGAAGAGGACAAAAAGCAACGGGCGGACGCACCTGGCGAGGACCTTCGGCAGCCGGATCCTGCGTTAGTGCAGCGCTCGTCGGACTCTCCCAGCATTCGCCGCCGCCCCTCCTCCCCGGCCAGGGCCACCTCCACGTTCCGTTCCAACGTGGCAGCCGCAGCCGCAGCCACGCCCTGCGCCCAACACTTCCGGGAGCGACATCTTTCCCCGCCCACCCGACGCACAGCCCGCCACGGCACTTCCGGGACCGGCGGTAGCCTGGGAGGCGGGGTACGGCTCCGCTGGTTGGTGGCGCTCTGCGGTCATCGCGCCCCGGCGATCGTAGAAACCCTTTTCTGAGGGGCGGCGCGCAGAATGTGGATGGGGTAGCCAGGACTAGTGGGTAAAGGACTAGTGCAGAGGGTGTCCCCGTCTGGCCGAATAACCGCCGTGGCCCGCAGGAACGCCACGTAGCACTAGTCCTGTGAGGCGTCGGCAGCCCCTGGCGACACTGCCCGCGCCAAACCAGGTGGAAAATCGGGCTGCAAGGGCTTTATTGTAATTTGTGACTGAGTTCTTAAAATTACCCACTTGATTGCACATTCTGGCGTTTTGAGAACTTATACAAAGTGAAACAATCTGGGCATTCCCAAAGGCTATTGTGGACAAAGAGGTATAGATGGGGTGTTATATTAATTCCAATTAGTACCGTTTCATACTTGTTACTATCCCATGGTATTGAGACCCGGTAGCACTCACCTTCTGCCACTGTTTCTCCACAACCTCAAATCTAATTAGATGCGTTGCCTAAGTGTACTTTTAGTTTAGGGAGGAATTATTTTACAGCAAGGTGAAGCCAAAGGAAAATCACTTGCTAAATTACCAGAAATTGGATTCAACCCAGATCTCCTAACTTCTAGACAAGTTCTTTTCTCATTACATCTAGCATTCAAAGCCAACTCTTGCACTTTGGGTAGCTAAAGCAGAAGGATCCTGCCCCTTGAACAGCAGCAGTGTTAACATTCCCACAGTCAGCTACATCTTCTGTAACATTCCATCTGAAGCTTGCAGCTTCATAAGACAGCTTAACATCAATTCACGCCAACTTCTGAAATAATGAACCCAACTTTTACTGGTAGTAATATATTCTCTTTCAGTCTTCTAATTACCATTTTCTTTCAACGCAGTAACTAAGGTTATCACTTTGGCCTGAATGCTAGTCAAACTGATTGGGATTTGTTTTTGATTAGTCTTCAATTCAAACAAGTAAATGCTCCATTTCAACCGCAAGCAGCTTTCTGTTCCTAGTGCAATTAAAACTGAAAGACGTTGAAGCAACTTTACCTTTTTACATTTATCAGACTTTTTCAATAGGCTTGTATTACAGCTTCATGCAGGTCTGGGTCTCAACCTATCTTTGCTTTGCTGTCACCACTTTCAAATCTAATCACATCCAATTTCACTTCCAGCATTATCACTTTTCTTTGCTGCTCTGTCCTTTGTTGACCAATTACCTCTTTTAATTATCCATTTTTATAAATGGTCACAAGTTTAATCTCTGGGGTCAAGGAGGCAACAGTACTATGCACTTTGTGCTCTGCTATCTGTGCATGAACTAAACAGATGATCAGTAACAAATCAACAAACTTTGAAAGCAAAGTAATGTAACTGGCGACTGATCATGATGCACATCTTTTTTTTGGGGGGGGGGGCACAATGATTTGTGGACTAAAGAGCTAGCAGCAAAATTTATGCAAGTTTTCTCAGTACTGTGGTAATGGAATTATTAACCACATTGTTGGACTGGTTTTATTTAACTGTGGTCACTGGTATTTATGCATATTGGAACTGTGCAAAGACTGCCTGTATCTAAAAAAAGAAAAACTCTTTAGTTCACAAAACTAAATCCAATTTAGTTAACTACTATCCAAGCCTAATCCTGAATCAAATAAAAACTGAATTGCTCACTAGAAGAATGTTTGGAGAGAATTTAATGACAAATTTTTCAAATTAGGATTTGCATAGCACAAAGATATTCTAGGTTTTTTTAGAGACAGGTTTTTGCTGTGTTGCCCAGGCTGGAGTGTGGTGGCAATGATCACAGCGCGCTGCAGCTTCAACATCCAGGGCGCAAGTGATCCTCCCACCTCAGCCTCCCAAGTAGCTAGGACTACAGGCACACAACACCATGCCTGGTTAATTATTTTATTTTCTGTAGACACAGGGACTCATTTTGTTGCCCATACTGGTCTGGAACTCCTGGCCTCCAGGGATCCTTCTGCTTTAGCCACCCAAAGTGCAAGGATTATAGGCATGAGCCTCCATGCCCATTTGACATTCTTTTGGGAATTCAGATCCCTTCCCCTCATTTCAACAGTCTTGATGTCTGCAAAGAGTGAAGTTGTAGACAAAACAATCATCACAAGATACATGAATGTTTATGTAACTTTTTCCATAGCAGCCAGTACTATGCTTACACCTCAGTAAAACAGTAGCATCCATT
The DNA here is from genome assembly GCF_000001405.40 of Homo sapiens. NCBI lineage: Eukaryota > Metazoa > Chordata > Mammalia > Primates > Hominidae > Homo > Homo sapiens. The sequence goes on from NC_000004.12 coordinate 82,893,539, forward strand.
TCATTGTTTTAGTTTGTTTCTGAATGCATTTATTTCACAAATTTGTTTAAGGGCTATAAACAAAATTTGTATCAACTTGTTTGTATATATTTACAAAACAGAAAATTAAGTCAGCATTAAGTCAACATGAGTAGTCACAGAATTTTTCCCCTTTATAAATGGTACATATTCAAGGAGACTTCAAAAAGTTTGTGGAAAAATGGTTAAAAGATAAAAAATATAAACTATATTTTTGAACATTAGCTCTATAGCATTCAAGACACTTTTGTAAGTGATGATACCAGCTATTTAGTCCATCCCTAAAGAACTGAGAGTTCTGGGAATTTATCTACATCAATGCAGTTTCTTTATACATTAACTTGAGAAAAATGTACTGCCCTGAAAAATTTTTTTAAGATTAGGAAACAAAAAGTCAGAAGGTGCCAAACCAGGACTGTAGGGTGGATGCCTAGTGATTTCCCATCAAAACTCTTGCAAAATGGCCTTGTTTGATGAGAGGGATGAGCAGGAACATTGTTGTGGTGAAGAACTCTCTGGTCTTTCTCGGGGATTTTTCTGCTGAAGCTTTGGCTAAGTTTCTCAAAACACTCCCATGATAAGCACGTTACCATTCTTTGGCCCTACAGAAAGTCAACAAGCAAAATGCCTTGAGCATTCAAAAGCTGTTGCCATGACCTTTGCTCTCAACCAGTCCTCTTGTGCTTTAACTGAACTACTTATCTTGGTAACCACTGCTTTGTGTTTTGTCTTCAGGATTGCGCTGGTAAAGCCATGTTTCATCTCCTGTTACAATTTTTCAATGAAAGGCTTCAAGATCCTGATCCCACTTATTTAAAATTTCCATTGAAAGCTCTATTCTTGTCTGTAGCTGATCTGGGTGCAATGGTTTTGGTACCTATCAGGTATAAAGTTTGCTGAACTTTTCCAGTCAAAATTGTGTAAGGTGAACCAACTGAGATGTCTATGGTGTTGGCTGTTGTTTCTGCTGTTAATTGTTGGTTTTCTTCAATTACGCCATGAACTAACTTTTTTCTCACAAACTGATGTGGATGATCTGCCACTGTGGGCTTCTTCTTCAACATTACCTTATGCCTTCTTAAAACGAGTTATCCATTTGTAAACTGATTTCTTTGGAGCACTGTCCCTATCAACTTTTCATAAAGCATCAATTAGTTCACCATTCTTCCACCCAAGTGTCAACATATATTTGATGTTTGTTCTTGCTTCAATTTTAGCAGAATTCGTGTTGTTCTGATAGAGCCTCTTTTCAAACTGATGTCTTATTCTTCTTAGTGCTTCAAACTAGATCCTGTTCAGACATGTTATAACAAGTTAGTAGGAGTTTATTTTGGTCCAAAAATTTTGAAATCCATGCATAGTTTTTTCATGATATGCATTTTCCATGCACTTTTTCAAGACCCCTCATATTTTCTTAAATTTGAGAAACAACTACAATAACAAGCCTAATTCATGACAGAACTAGTATTAGATTTAAGATTCCCAGTTTCCTATCACCTTCTTTTCTACTGTTCCTGAACAGATCCTTAAGTTATAGGCTAGTCATCCTTGGCATATCTAACAGTCATTTGTAAACCCTGGATCTTTAAGAATATCAGGTGCTGAAAAGATTATATCATTATTTCTAAGAAAAGATAACCAACAGCCAGGTGTGGTGGCTTATGACTATAATCCCAGCACTTTGGGAGGCTGAGGTTGGTGGCTGGAAGTTTGAGACCAGTCTGGCCAACATGGCAAAACATGGTCTCTACTTAATAAAAAAAATTAGCTGGGTGTGGTGGCATGCGCCTCTAATCCCAGCCACTTGGGAAGCTGGGCCACAATAACTATTTGAACCCAGGAGGCAGAGATTGCAGTGAGCAGAGATTGCGCCGCTGCACTCCAGCCTGGGCAACAGAGTGAGACTGTCAAAGTTAAAAGCTCCACCCCCTCCAATGCCTTTCCTGAATTGAATCTATTAATTAAAAAAATACTATTTTGAAATAATACTTATCTTTAAAAGCTGGAAGAGTAAGGAAAAGAAATTTTTAATTCAGAGTACAGTATCCACATTAGGCTGAAATAAATGTCAATTTTCTGCTCATACCTGACCTTTTCTGTGTTCTTTTATCAAAATAAATGTGTAAGTCCCATACCTTATTATATAAATCTTCAACTTCTTGATCAAATAAATATGACAAATGATGTTCTCTAAGAAAAACACCCTTCAATTTTATTCCTAAAACGAAAAACATTCAAAGGAACTCATTGTGCAGAAACACAATATATACAAGTCTCATCATTTTCTTTTTCTATTATGTCCTCATCCACATACATTAATCACAACAAATCATGATGTGAACAGCAGTGGAAAAAATTTAATCATTGGACATTTATTTCTTGAACTTCAGCTCTAGTTGTAAGATTCTCATTGCTTAGCTCTTTAAAACAAATGCATATATTTATCTAATGTAGAACAGTTAAGACCTCCAATTTTACTATAATTGGGAAAAAAACTCAGAACAAAGATTATGTCAAGTGTATCACTGTATTGACTTTGTTAACCTGCTATACATCTGACACAAGGGTAGGTGTTCAACAAGTGAAATACCAATCCTAAAAAGCCAGAAGTCTGTATCTGCTTTCATAGGGTTATTATGAGAAATAAATATTGTTTAACAGAACCAACTCTTTCTTTTTTGAGACAGAGTCTTGCTCTGTCACCCAGGCTGGAGTGCAGTGGCCAATCTTGGCCCACTGCAACCTCCACCTCCTGGGTTCAAGTGGTTCTCCTGCCTTGGCCTCCCAAGTAGCTGGGGTTACAGGTGCGTGCCACCATGCCCGGCTAATTTTTGTATTTTTAGTAGAGACGGAGTTTCGCCATGTTGGCCAGGCTGGTCTTGAACTCCTGAGCTCAGGTGATTCACCTGCCTTAGCCTTTCAAAGTGCTGGGATTACAGGTGCGAGCCACCATGCCTGGCCAAGAAAACCAACTCTTTCTATACACTATATATAAAAATCTTAGCAGCCTGGGCAACACGGCAAAACCCCTTCTCTACCAAAAATACAAAAAATTAGCCAGGTGTGGTGGCACACGCCTGCAGTTCCAGCTACTTAGAGAAGCTAATTGGAACTAGAGTATGGCTAGAAATTAGGTATTCCTACTCATATAATTTTCCTTGGGGTGATACTAACTTGGAAAGTTGAACTTTCTAAGAATTTTTCAAGGAATATTGTCCAATTTCTTCTGTGCAGTTATACAAATATTTGCTATAGGATGGAGTAAAGGTACAGATGTACAGCATCATTGAAGGAGTTTGACCTTTTTCCCCAAAGCTTGATTTTTATCCACTATGATGAATACATTTTACTAAATACTTGCTACTCTTTTCCTTCTGCTGCTTCCACCCCCACCTCCCACAGGCTTCTACTCCTCATCAGCAAAATATAGACCTTGTCAAGCAATCAGAATGTTCCTAATTGGCAGAACACTAATTCGTGCCTGAGATTTATAATCTTTTGAGTCTTCTTGTTTTCCTTTCATCACTGCTCAAAAGTTCTATTAGAAGAAAAAACACTCCCCCTTTTCCTTTAAGTCCTAGCACTGCTTCTGATATTTGGAAACCACTTGTCTAATAACAGAAGCATTACGTATAAAACAAAGCATAACTAGTTTTGGAGCGTATTAGGGTGTAGCTGCCCCTCCATATCAGGCTTGATGCTGAGAAGACACTTCCAAGTTAGCATGAGATTCTAGAAGTAGAAATAATTATGTAACAAATAATGATATAACAATAATTTCAAAACTCCATGGCTTTCTGAAACAAAAGACAGAACTCAAACAATGAAAAATTCGGCAACACAAAAGGGTAGGTCCTCAACAAGCAAGATACCAACCCTAGAAAGCAAGAAGTCTATACCTGCTTTCATAGAGTTATTATGAGAAATAAATATTGTTTAAGAAAACCAACTCTTTCTATATACTGTATATAAAAAGCTTAGCAGCCTGGGCAACATGGTAAAACCCTGTCTCTACCAAATATACAAAAAAAAATTAGCCAGGTGTAGTGGTACATGCATGTGGTCCCAGCTACTTAGGAAGCTGAGGTGGGAAGATTGCTTGGGCCTGGAAGACAGAGGTTGCAATAAGCTGAGATTGCGCCACTGCACTCCAGCCTGGGTGACAGAGTGAGACCCCATCTCAAAAAATAAAATAAAATGAAATGAAATTAAAAAAAGCTCAGCATAATTTGTGGCCCATAGTAACTGGCCAATAAATAAATATCTGTTATTATTCTTTCCAAGTGGACAATTAATGAGATTATATACCATAAAATAGGTAGATTTCATTAAAGCCTTAATAAATGTTTTTTACTTGGACAATCCTCCATTTCCAACTCACTGCTATAGTTCCAGGAATACTTAATACATTTAAAATAGAAAGATATACTACCTTCCCTGCATATTTTGAGTAATTATCTTCCAAGACCCATGTATCTTTTCTCAACATCTCTGAGAGTACAATTCCTGAAAAGAGATATTTTCTTTTAAAATTTTTTGTGCAATAGTCAATGCCTTTGCAAATAACACTATCTTTAATACAGCTTACATATCCTCATTTAAGTATTCAATAATCACAACGGTTCATTATGTGAACAGCAGTGAAAAGGTTTAATCACTGGATATGAAGTTACTAGAAGAAGCAATGATATAACCAAATGATCAGATTGAGAACTTCCATGTCAACAGTAAAATAATCACAACAACAAAAAAAGTATAGATAAGTTATAAACAAATGTAAAGATACAAAAATACAACTAAGAAAAAAAAATTCCATCTATAAAGGATTACTTATTTCCTATGCAGAAGTAAATATCTAGAGCAGTGACCCCTTGCGGCTATTGCCTTCATTTAAGTAAATCTGTTCTGATAAAAGCAGTTTTCAGAAATTCATCTGAAATTAACAATTAAAGGAATGTTGTCAGAATAATGTAGGAAGCACACTATTTCATCTTTAGGAAAGGCAAATAGTTGCAATCCAATTAAACAGGAAAGAAAACAGCCCTCATTTCAGATGATGAACTGGCAGCAGTACTTTCAACTCTACCTTAAGAAAATGGCAAGTGAATGCCTGTATCTGCAAACTTTTGAGTCCTTAAGAAAAGGCAAACACCACGATGAGACAGCCACTTCACATGCACAAAAATGTGGAGAAACTGGCAGCCTCATCCACTGCTGGTGGGAATGTAAAATGGTGCAGCCACTAGGGAAAATAATCTGGCACTTCCTCAAGAAGCTAAACACAGTTATCTTATGACTCACCAATTCCACTCTTAGGTGTGTAATCAGGAAAATGAAAACATTTGTCCACACAAAAACTTGTACACAAATGTTCATAATAGTAAAAAAAAAAATTGGAAAACCCAAATGTCCACCAACTGTTGAACGGATAAACAAAATCTGCTACATCCATAAAATGGAGTACGATTCAGCAATAAAAAATAAAGTACTGATACGTGCTATAAGATGGATGAACTCTGAAAACATTCCAAGTGAAAGAAGCCAGTCACAAAGACCATATATTAGTTCATAATTCCACTTACATGAAGTGTACAGAGCAGGCAGAGGCACACGGAAACTAAATTAGTGTTTGCTGAGCGGGGTGGGGGAATATTTGGAGGTGCTGCTAGTAAGAATGAGGTTTCTTTCTGGAGTGATGAAAATGTTCTAATATTGATTGTGACTGTTCCACAATTCTGTGCATATACTAAAACCCACTGAATTGTACACTTTAAACCAATTAGTTGTGTGGTATGAGAATTATATCTGAGTAAAACTGTTACAAAAATATAAGGCAACTAATTTTTTCCTTAAAGATAGCTAAAAACAATGTTATTTTTATTCAGCCTCACTCGGGTCTTAATTGGTTGAGCAGGAAAAGGCTCTAACAGCCCAACCAACTTACAGTATTTAAATCCAGTTCTTACTCTCTGCACACACCTTACAGCCAAAAAGTATTTGCCCTGCACATCCCCCAGGGACCAATTTTTCCAAAGTTCCTTGACCATCTATCCTTAGGCCATGTGACTTTTAAGGAACCATAACCAAAAGCTATTAATTCCATTCAGAGAAGATACAAGCATATTATAATGGAAAACTGGTGTGAATAAGTAATACCTTAATATGTATCTTCGGCTGTAATCTGGACAAAGTAAACACAAAGGGGAAAAAGAAGCAATCTTGTTAGGCCTGGATATTTGGAATTATTTTTGTGTGCTATACAAAGAAACGGAAAAGTTGCAAACCCTTCTCTGTTTTCTGTATGCTAAGGATCTCCTTCTCAGAGACAAAAACCCACTGGCCCGTTTCCTTCTCTAAGCAAATTGAAATCTCTTCCTCAAACATAAGAGCTTATAACTAAGACATTGTTCTAAGCTCTATCTCCTGAAAGCTATTCATAATGCCTCATTCCCAACCAAAACCACTTAATTGCCCCTTGTCCCCTGCCCCTATTACTACTGAGGAGCCCCAAGAACCTTACCTTATTTCCTTCATTGTGGCAAAGTGTTTCAGAAAAGGGTTCCTTGAATTAAAAGTCGGCGTATCCTATTTGACTCCTGCTCCTCCGGTATCACATACCTACAGCCAACCATGCCAAGAGCTTCCCCATTATCTCCGCATCGGAGAGCTACAAGATAAAGCGCAAGAACACGACACGCATCTCAGTAAATCATATATTTTTGGCCCGACTCTGTCTTCAACACACCTAAGGCACCGTGTTTTATCCCTCTTCCATACCCTTTCCTCCCGATATCCTCCAGTTTCAGAGACCGCACCCGGAGACCCATTGGCAGGTTCCTGGATTCGCCTCAATTTTGGTCCTGCCTCTCTGCTTCGCATTTTCAGGCTTGGCCTCACAAGAAGGACGATGGCGCCAGATTGTGCCAGAATGGGTGAAAACAGAAGGAAAATAAACCGGTTGCAGCAAAACCCACTATTCCGCCTCCAACGCGGAGGGAGGAGCGGTCAAATGCACGTCTTCAGGCTCAGGCCCTTCCGATTGGCTGCTGGGACACAACGTGGCCTGTCATTGGCTACGGCACCGGCGCAGGGCCTTCGGAGAGGAAGTGTGGAAGTCCCGCGCCTCTAAAGCCCGCCTTTCGTGACAAATAAAGGTCGTAGCCGCAGAGTCAACGGGCGGAGCTAAAGTGGTCGTGATTCATGCTGTCGCGGGAACCCCGAAGGTGGGGCCCCACGTAACAAGAAGATGACCCGAAGTTGCTCCGCAGTGGGCTGCAGCACCCGTGACACCGTGCTCAGCCGGGAGCGCGGCCTCTCCTTCCACCAGTGCGTATGGGAGCAGCCTCGAAGCCTTCGAACTCCCTGCGGGGCCCGGCGGGCCGTGGCGTGGCGTGGGGCGGGGCCGGGCCGCACTGTGGGTCGCGCCGCGTGTGTGACGCGACGTGACGTGCGCAGCGTCGGGGCGTGGGAGCGGAATTGGGGCACTGTGAGAATTGAGATTCTCTCTCTTCCCGCCCAGTGTTTACCTCTGAATAGCCGGTTCTCGCACCGCCTACCGCTTTAAGGAGAGTTACGCGAAAGGAGTCCTCCATTAATTGGATGGTCTTATTATTTGAAGTGAGGAGGCCGAAAGGGAAGGCAGTTTAGGACAACGGTTGAAGTGTGTGTGTGGCGTCTTCCTGAGCACGAGTACAGATCAGTTTTCTCCTGTACTGCCTGACATTGCAAGTTCTTAAGTGCTGTTAGCCGAGCTGTGCAAGGCCGGTCCGATTCTGGCTGGATTTGATCATGGCAGGGAAGTTTCATTTGGCTCGACAGTGGGGAAGAATTTCAGATCAGTCTTATCTGAACTCATATCCATGGTTCAGACTGGTATAGGTCATTCAGTATTCAGGGTACACTAGCAAGTAGAAAAGTGGGTAAAATAGATCCTCACAGACAAAAGGAGCAGATTTATGGAAAGATCAAAAAGAACTTTATGGTTGGAAAGGGGGGGTAGGAAGAGGGTAGTTAGGAATGGCATGGGAAAATGTAAAGGATAGAAAGTGCAAATATAGAGGAGTGGAAAAGTACCTGAGAAACCATTTTAAAAATGTAAATGCCAGGTTAAGGAGTTTAGAGTATGTATGGTAGGCTATGTATAAAATTCATTGATTTTTTTTTTTTTTTGTTTTCTATTTTTTAAATAGGGCTGATTCCTCCACCTAAATTGTTAGCAGTGTGAACCAACTCATTGTGTATGTGAGACCATAATTGATTTGGGATTTTTCTTGTGATAGAGGTAGTTTTAAACTAGGGAGACATGAATTCCAATTTTAATTGAGTATTTACTGATGTCTGTACTTGGCTCTGGGTCTTGGTTTCTTCTTCTGTAAGAGGAATAAAAACCTGCCTTGTAGAATTTTGTAAAACTAAAACGTAAGACTTTATAGCATATGTAACGCACAAGGTAAATGCTTTAAAAATGGTATTATTACCAAATTAATTTTTTCCAGAACTCAAAACTAGTTATGCTAGTTAGATTACAATATTTCCCAACATTTTCCTTCTTTTTTTTTTTTTTTTTTTTGGAGACGGGGTCTCACTTTGTCGCCCAGGCTGGAGAGCAGTGGCACTATCACAGCTCAGCGCAGCCTCTATCTCCCAGGCTCAAGTGATCCTCCCACCTCAGCCTCATGGGACTACAGGCACAGACCACCATCCCGGCTTTTTTTTTTTTTTGGTAGAGATGAGGTCTCAGTGTGTTGCCCAGGTTGGTCTCCAACTTCTTGGCTGGGATTACAGGCATGAGCCACCCTGCCCAGCCCCAGCCTTTTTCATAGCATTTTACGCATAGGAAATAATTGTTCAATACTTTGGGGCAAACCTACAGCACTGTTTGGGGCTGCCTTCAAGTAACTACTCAGGTGTCCCAGCCCACCCCATGGACTAAGAATATCAACAGCTGTACTCACTAGGCATACCTGTTGGGAAGCTTTGCATCAGAGGACCACGCTAGTAATAGAAGTTGTTGGACCAGCCAACTTTTGAGGGTTCCTTGCACGTTTAGAGACTATACCCAATCTGTGGAAAAGCTCCCTTGCAAAATATGTTCCATGAGTTAGAAAAGAACTCAGTGAAAAAAGATAGATTTGCCCCAACTTTATTGGAAAAAGAATTCCCTGTTCATTTGCCCTTGATCAAGTATCATCATCTTCTTAGAACAATAAAATTATAATCCCAGAAATGGAATTAGTTGTTCTTAGGAAAGATCGAACTTTGGATAGTACTTTACAGTTTACAAAGTGATTTTGAATACATTTGTAGCCTCATACACTCTTACTACAGCCCTGTGAGGAAGTTCTAAGATTGAGAGATGTGTCTAATACCATATAGCTGGTAGAAGGTCACTGAAGCTTAAATACAGGTTTTCCAATTCAGAGTTCTTTCTCAAGGTGATTTAGAGAGCATATCAGAATTATGTTTTACCATGCTGCTATATTTTTGTAGCATTTAGCTGAGAAATAAAATTTATACCAATCTCAGTTCTAGTAACTATGTGTTTTAAAGTCTAAATTAAAATACACAAAAAGCATAGTTACCTATAAGTCTGTCTCTAAGATAACGTCAAAGAAGAAGGGGCAGAAAGAGTAGTTTTGTGCTTTTTATTGTGTTAATTTCACAAGTTTCTTTTTCTTTTCTTTTTTGAGATGAAATCTTGCTGTCGCCCAGGCTGGAGTGCAGTGGCACTATCTTGGCTCACTGCAACTTTGCCTCCCAGGTTCAAGCGATTCTCCTGCCTCAGCCTCCCTAGTAGCTGGGATTACAGGTGGGAGCCACCAGGCCCGGCTAATTTTTGTATTTTTATTAGAGACAGGGTTTCACCATGTTGTCCAGGCTGGTCTTGAACTCCTGACCTCAAGTGATCCGCCCGCCTCGGCCTCCCAAAGTGTTGGGATTACAGGCGTGAGCCACCACGCCTGGCCGACAAGTTTCTAAACATAATTTGGCTTGGATTGAAAAATAAATAAATGCAAGGTAATTTTTATAATCAAGGCTAGGAAAAAGTAGTGCCTTTAAACATGAAAAAACAATATAGTAAATATACTTGTCTTGTTTTCTACTGCTGCATAACAAGTTACCTCAAAATTCAGTATAAACATTTTTATCTCACACATTTCTGAGGGTCAGGAATTCAGGAGTGTAGCTCGATGTTACAGTATCTCATAAGATTGCACTCATCTGAAGGCTGAAGTCACCTGCTTTCAAAAAGACTAACTCAACATGGCCTTTGACTGGAGGCCTCAGTTCCTCACCAACTAGTTTTCTCCACAGGACTGCTTTATAACATGCCAGATACCTTACCACAGAGCAAACCATTCTCTACAGAGAGCAAGGAGGAAAGCTTGTTCCTTTATGACGTAGTCTGTGGTCACTTACTGTCACATGTTCTTTTTCCATTCCTTAGCAAATCACTAACTCTAGCCCATACTCACTCAAGGGGAGGGGAATTAGGCTCCCCCTTTTTTTTTTTTTTTTTTTTTTTGTTACGGAGTTTCACTCTTGTTGCCCAGGCTGGAGTGTAATGGTGCGATCTCGGCTCACTGCAGCCTCCACCTCCGGATTCAAGAGATTCTCCTGCCTCAGCCTCCCCAGTAGCTGGGATTACAGGCACCCGCCACCACGTCCGGCTAATTTTTTATATGTTTAGTAGAGACGGGGTTTCACCATGTTGTCCAGGCTGGTCTTGAACTCCTGACTGCTGATCCTCCCGCCTCAGCCTCCCAAAGTGCTGGGATTACAGGCATGAGCCACTGCACCCAGCCAGGCTTCACTTCTTAAAAGGAAGAGTACCAAATAGTTTAAAATCACTACAGGAAAGGAAAAGATGCATATATTCTTTAACCATTTAAATTTGAGCAAATTCTATTAAGTGTAGGAAGTGAAGACAAAATATAGTAGGATTTTTAATATGGGAATTGCCCCTCTATGATTGACAAAGAAAAATCAGATATTGAACCTTTGGATTAAAAAAAATCAAAGAACTTTGAAAAATGAACTAAGTAAATTAAACTTTTAATTCACTTGGCTTTATGTTTCTATAAAGCAGTAAAATAATAGATGGGTTTATATAATAAATACTACTGTAATAGTACTATAATGTTTTCATGTTAATGGAACTTTAATGTGATTGTCATAGATTTCCAACTGATACCATACAGCGCTCAAAATGGATCAGGGCTGTTAATCGTGTGGACCCCAGAAGCAAAAAGATTTGGATTCCAGGACCAGGTGCTATACTGTGTTCCAAACATTTTCAAGAAAGTGACTTTGAGTCATATGGCATAAGAAGAAAGCTGAAAAAAGGAGCTGTGCCTTCTGTTTCTCTATACAAGGTATTTAAATGTAGGTGTAAGTCAACAAAATGAAAATTTACAGAGCCTTTAAAAATCAAGATAGCCCCCATTATAGCTAGAATTTGCAGACAAAAAAACCCAAGTCTTAAATCCAGTAATAGATTTTAAATGCTTTGAAAATTTAAAAAAAAAATTATATATATTAGCATTTGTTCTGGAGCTTTTAAAAAACTATATAAATGCAAATCATTTGTCTAGATATATATAAAGGTTACTAACCAATTGCAAAAATCAACTGGTAGATATAAATAGCCTTAGAATACAGGCTTTTGTTAAGTATGAGACAGCTTTCATAGTACTTTGAAATTATCTATGTTTTTTGGTTCCTCCTAATAATGTTATTTATCTTGATCAAAAATATACCTAATTATTAACATTGATACAGGAAGTATGTGGGAAATAATGAAACTTTCTATGAGTGAGTCACCAGTATTGGTATGATATTCTTCTGTTTCCTATGACTGTTTTTATTTTATCCTTTTACCCCTTAACCACAACTCTGACACATGGGCTTTCACTTTCTGCACAGTCTGTGATAGTCACCTAACTGTTCTATTCTGACACTAGCCTTACTTTCCTCTTAATCGTCAGTCTCCTTCTTCCAGTATTGGTTTATCTCATTCCCCTATTCGGAAGTATTTAGTTGGTGTCAAATTCAAACTCACCAAGTCCCAAGAGCTTCCTATTAACTGATTTGTACATTTTTAACTGTCCTGAATTATCTTTTCAAACCATATATACTTACTATATATGTGATAAATTTGCTTGCTTTCATACTTTTGTGTAAAATCAATAATGGCTGCCATGTGTTGAGAGCTACAATGGTCCAGGCATTGTACTAGGAGATTTACATAAATTCTTATATTGTATCTTCAAAAGAATCCTGTATTATTATCCACATTTTACAGATGAGGACACAAGGGATTGTAGAGCTTATGTGACAGCTAATTGAGGGAGCTAAGATTCAAACCCAGGTCAGTCTTAATTCCAAAGCCATGCACTGTCCACTATGCCTTCTTTTTTGCACAAATAACTTCTCTGTCACCTTCATTAACCATGTTATTGTACCTTCTAAGAACTGCTTAAAACTCACTTCCATGAAGCCATCCCAGTTTACTACCACCTTTCTCTAGTTACTTTATTTCAGAAACTTTCAACATCATATTAATATTTCTGTGTAGTGCAAAAAAAAAAAGCCTGTTTATATTACCCTATAAACTATACATTAAAACATTCAGAGATTATGACCTTTTCTTTCCTAACTAACTCTCCACAGCAACCAGATTAGTGCTTTGTATTTAGGGTATTTTTACAGATACTCTTCTATGTGATTATTTCTAAAATAACTTTAATTTTATATATCTGTCATAGATTCCTCAAGGTGTACATCTTAAAGGTAAAGCAAGACAAAAAATCCTAAAACAACCTCTTCCAGACAATTCTCAAGAAGTTGCTACTGAGGACCATAACTATAGTTTAAAGACACCTTTGACGATAGGTGCAGAGAAACTGGCTGAGGTGCAACAAATGTTACAAGTGTCCAAAAAAAGACTTATCTCCGTAAAGAACTACAGGATGATCAAGAAGAGAAAGGGTTTACGATTAATTGATGCACTTGTAGAAGAGAAACTACTTTCTGAAGAAACAGAGTGTCTGCTACGAGCTCAATTTTCAGGTACTTCCCCCTAGTAACCTGTAGTATTTACAAAAATAGCTATTTTTCTGAGGTACCATTAAGTATTTATTTTGTTCTTGCCTATGAAAACATGCTTTCAGTTGGGAAGTGAAAGTCTCAGTAGCTTAAGAAGAATGAAAATTAATCACCAAAATTCTTTTGTATCTTATGGTTTTCCAGTTATAAAAGTAACATTTATTATAGGAAAAGCAAAGAAATATTTAAGTAATTAAAATAATGTTAATCCCACTACCCAGAGATGAAACCATATGGTTTATACCATTTTCTGTTCTGCACTTATCACTTTTTGTAGTAGCTCTTACCCATTTGCTACTGCAAATTCATTATAAACAGTTTTAACTGCTACATAATTTTACCAAAGTCTTTTTGCAGTAGAGTTGTACTAGTTTGCAGAATTTCTTTGAGCTTGGAAATTGTGTATCTCCACATTTTTTTCTAAAATATTCTATAGAGTAGACTATAAACCCATGGAAAGGCTACCTAGTCCTCTTTAGAGTGAACTAAGATCTTTGAAGAAGGGCAAAATAAAAATTGCCAACTTGTTCTTTGATGAAAGCAGCAGAGATTTGGATTTACATTCTAGGAAAAGAGAAATGTGTCCTCTTTTTAGAAAAGAGTAGCTATCTCCAAAGGAGATGAATATTTTATGTTTTTCCAAGAGGGGACTAGAGGTCATAAATAGGAATCCCCACCAGGAACAGAATTTTTTTTTTTTCTCTTGATATTAGGCAAGATGGTCTGTTCAGTCTGAATAGTACCCTATCCCCAGAAATGTTTTTCATATCTAATTTTCACCCTCAGATAAATAGTAAGCAGGGAACAAAATAAAATAAATGTCCTCATTTTATTTTCTTTTCAGTTCCTCTAAAAATCTCTCCTCTCAGGCTGCCACTGAACAGTAAAACATAATTCAAGTTGAAAATTTTTTCTTCCCTCTAGTGAAATGATTCCAGATGAACCGAATAAATTGGTCAAGGGGTCCTAAGTGGATATTAACCTCTGAATAGACTTAATCAAAATGCAACTATATTTGTATTTGAATTCTGATGCCCAGTGCATTTTATATCCAAATGCTATAATCTGTACCTGAAAATTTTACTATTCATCACAAAGAATAAAAAAATTTATTTTAACAGATTTTAAGTGGGAGTTATATAATTGGAGAGAAACAGATGAGTACTCCGCAGAAATGAAACAATTTGCATGTACACTCTACTTGTGCAGTAGCAAAGTCTATGATTATGTAAGAAAGATTCTTAAGCTGCCTCATTCTTCCATCCTCAGAACGTAAGTGAATTATTTTTTTATTTTTTAAAAGTGACTTTCTTGTCAGGACATCTTGTTGATTGCATGTTAATTACTCTTTAGATGTTAAACCATATTATTCTTTTGTTGCATTTTACTTATTAAGGCTATTAGTACTCATACTCCCATTTAAAAAAAGAAAAAATGGACTAATGAAAAAATGGACTCCCATTATTAGCCCATTTTTGTTCTTCAAAAACTTCTAGGTAGTATTTGCCAATTATCACAACAGCAATATTTTCACCAACAAAATGAAGACACATAGTATGACAAGTTTTTTGCATCTCCCAGACACTCTGGGTGGATAAAATTTGAATCCTGAAATATTGGAATTTCTAGTATACTTCAGTAGTTTAATATCTGACGATCCTGGAAAATCTAGAACAGTTCTGGATTGATCGCCATTGGTCTTAGGCAAAGCACAAAAAAATCTGCGTTTTTCATAAGCACTGCAGTTGATGCCAATTAGGTTGTCCAGGAAACAGATTTTGATAAATAATTTTTTAGGATTTGTGATTAAAATGGATAGATATAATTCTCTTAGTGTGCAGCAAATAACAATGATTTTCTAGTAATGTCTTATAAATTTAATACTGAATTCTTAATTTTTACTGTTTTTACCACTAGTTTTACAGATTCCTTTTTTTGTTTTGGAGACTGAGTCTTGCTTTGTCACCCAGGCTGCATGCAGCACAGCGGCACAATCTCGGCTCACTGCAACCTTGCCTTCCAGGTTCAAGCAATTCTCATGCCTCAGCCTCCTACTGAGTAGCTGGGATTACAGGCATGTGCCACCACACCCAGCTACTATTTTGTATTTTTAGTAGAGACGGGATTTTGCTTTGTTGGCCAGGCTGATCTCGAACCCCTGGCCTCAAGTGATCTACCCGCCTTGGCCTCCCAAAGTGCTGGGATTACAGGCATGAGCCACCATGCCCAGCCTAGTTTTACAGATTCCTTTTTTTTTTTGAGATGGGGTCTTGCTCTGTCGCTCAGGCTACAGTGCAGTGGTGCGAGATCTTGGCTCACTGCAACCTCCGCCTCCCAGGTTCGACCCATTCTCCTGCCTCAGCCTCCCAAGTAGCTGGGATTACAGGTGTCCACCACCATACCCGGCTAATTTTTATATTTTTAGTAGAGGTGGGATTTCACCGTGTTGGCCAGGCTAATCTCGAACTCCTGATCTCGTGATCCACCCACCTCGGCCTCCCAAAGTGCTGGGATTACAGACATGAGCCACTGTGCCCAGCCCAGATTCCTTTATAAAAAATTATAGATTTTCCTCTATACACACTATTACAATAATACTACCAATAAAAGATTTAAAAATAATTGACCTTCAGAGTGGGCTGCTCTTCTAATTGACCTTCAGAGGGCTGCTCTTCTAAAAAAATTTAAAGAGGAAAAATTTATTATTCCCATACATTATATATAAATAATTACTGTTAACATTTAGAGTATTTCCTTCCTGTGTGTGTGTGTGTGTGCACTTAGATTTATTAGTGTTTACATAGTTATGATCTTTTGTAAATAAATTTCCAACCAGCCTTTTATTACTTTATTATGTATGCCTTTTATCTGTAACGTTATTTTGAACTCTTTATAGACAAGTTTTAATAGCTGCATGATATCAGGTAGTCCTACCCTACTTAACTCTGACATTCTCCAGCTATTGGACATTTCTATTGTTTACATTTTGGGGTTATAATTGTTTTTTCATATATTTTGATGAACATTTGTATATAAGGCTTACTCTTTCATAATGTGATTTTACCATTCAAGCTAGATATTATACTTATTTATAAATATTCACTTTTTGCTAAGCAAGAGAGTTTTATAGGTACTGTGTTGATAATTTCTCCTCCTATACCTTTTTGGTTTTTTGTTTTCTGATGGTTGTACATATTCTGGGGGTACATGTGATATTTTGATGCATATATATAATTTGTAATGATCAAATCAGGGTAATTAAAATATCCATCATTTATAAATCCAAACATTTATCTTTTCTTTGTGTTGAGAAGCATATACCTTTTTAATCTCTTCACTGGTTTTAAAGCATTACTTAATGGTATTTCACTATGGTTTATATAAGAGATTTCAGGTAACTTCTTATCTTTTCTTTTTCATGGTTTTCTTCATTTCCCATAGTTCTGCGTCAACTCCTAGATTAAATCTTCCTGGTAATTCCAGCGCACATTTATCTTTTCTCTCTTCATGTCATTTTGCATTTTGTGACCTTTGCTGTAACATTATATATTTAGATTTATAATTCCAGTACTTAAACAGTTGCTCATTTCTTTAGGTACTTTGCCTATAAGTAAGGTATATTGTTTAGTATGATAGTAATATATGTTTGTTATAAAACATTCAAACAGTATATAAGTACATAAATACCAGAAAGTGAAAAACATAGTACTTCGCTTCCCCTAATCCCACAAAATAACTACAGTTAGCAGTTTTGTGTATATCCTCCAAGTTAAATAAAAAAAAAAACCTATTTACCTACCAATAAAATTTTGTTTTAGTGTTCTGTTATATTAATGGTATATAGAGCCTCCGTTTATTTTCTTATATTAATGTAAGATTATATTATATTAATATAAGATTCTTATATTAATGGTATATACGTTTCCATTTATTTTCCCATATAAAAAGTGATGTTTTTAACACAGTTATCTTAAGTATTAGATCTTTATAATCATTATATTTAATATTTATTCAATAAATATTTATTGATCAGGAGCGGCCAGTGAGGCAGGAGGAAAACCAGGAGATTGTGATGGCCTGGAAGCCAAGTGTAGAAAGTATTTCAAGGAGGGAGTAGTCCACTATGTCAAATGCTGCTGGGAGATCAGGTAAGATGAGGACAGAGAATTGACCATTGGATTTTGCAAGATGAAGGTCATTGATGACCATGACAAAAGCAGTTATAGTAGAGTGGTGGAGAGGTAAACCTGGCTGGAGTGGGATTAAGAGAGACTAAAGGTGAAGAAGCAGAGAAAATGATTGTGGGCTCTTCCATGGAGTTTTGCTATGAAGTAGAGCAGAGAAGGGTCTGTAGGTAGAAAGGAACATGCATTGAGGGGAGGGTGTTTGTTGAGATGGCAGATGTCCCAGCGTGTTCGCATGTTTATGGCAATGATCCAAGAGAGAAAAGAAAATTGGCGATGTATAAGAGAAATGATAATTGCAGGAGGATGACATCCAACACTACTGTGGAAGGAAGTATGACCTTAAGGTATTGGGACAGTTCATCCATTGAAACAGGAAGAAAGGCCAGAAGTACAGATAAAATAGGTTAACAGATTTGGTAGTAGGAAAATGAGTTTTGTCTTTTAAAAAGATGGGGTCTCGGCTGGGCACAGTGACTCATGCCTGTAATCCCAGCACTTGGGGAGGCTGTGGAGGACGGACCACGAGGTCAGGAGATTGAGACCACCCTGGCTAACACGGTGAAACCCCATCTCTACTAAAAAAATAAAAAAAAATTAGCCGGGCATGGTGGCAGGCACCTGTAGTCCCAGCTACTCGGGAGGCTGAGGCAGGAGAATGGTGTAAACCCAGGAGGCGGAGCTTGCAGTGAGCCGAGATTGCACCACTGCACTCCAGCCTGGGTGACAGAGCGAGATTCCGTCTCAGAAAAAAAGATGGGGTCTCACTGTGTTGCCCAGATTGGCCTTGAACTTCTGGGCTCAAGCAGTCGTCCAGTCAGCCTCCCTGAGTAGCTAGAACTACAGACATGCACCACCACACTCAGCAGGAAAATGAGTTTTTATTGCATTGCTTCTGTTTTCTCAAAGTTATTAACTGAGAGTTGAGGAGGAAGGCATTAGATTTGGGAAGAAAGGAGAAAATGTGACCAGTCACCTACCAGGAAAAGTAAGTAACTAGAAAAATGCAGTACCAGATTTGTGGTCAAAACTGTTGTCTTTCCCTCCATAATGATGGAGAAACAATTAGATGGTTAACAATTAGACGATGACAGACCAAACTAGACTTAAATTTTTTTAAAACCCTTGGTTTGGTTAGATAGGGTGCCTCATGAATTTCTAATTGTCTATATCTTTCTCTAGTCTTAGCTACATCAGATATTTCTCTAATTTTCTCTTTACTGATGTTGGATCCTTTTTCAGTTCTCCCTGGATTCTTTATGTCCAAAACTTTCCCAAAGCTGTGTTTTTTACAATTTTCAGTGTTTGGGGTCTTTAAAGTAATTTATTTTCACAAATCCTTTGAAATTAAGTCTTAATATCCTTAACTTTCCTTGTTATAATAGTGATATATTTAGTGTGATCTTGGTCATAGATAGAAAATGCTGGCACAGTTGCTCTTTATTTATATTTCCTCTGTTTCTAATTTTTGGTTTATATTCACTGCAGTTTAGTAAACCAACTCCCTCTATAGGTTACCTGCTGTGAGAGAATCAAAAGTAACAACAGTGGGAGTAGCTAAAAGTCTTAACAGAAAAACATTTAGCACTGTAGATCTCTAGGACTATATTTTTCCCAGGCAGAATTTTAGGCCACCCAAGTGACTCCCTATAATCATTCCATAACTAAGTTATTGTATATTGGTTTGTTAATTTAAAATATCGTGTTGATGAGAGTATAAATGAAAATTGCTTTGAACTTTCGCAAGGACAGTTTGGGAATATGAATTGTAAATTGTGTAAATATGAATTGCACAATTATGTGCAGCTGAAATCCTAAATTTGTCTTTAATTTCTTATAAAATATAAGTAAGTTTACCTTGGCATGTTATTCCTAGGAATTACAAAATGACATAAATATGTATATGTGTAAGGGTGCACATGCGTGCATATACACATTGTGGTACTGTTATCTAAAAATTTGAAATTATCAAGATGTCCTTCGATTTGAGTTGGTTTTCATTTAACTATACTGTGATATATACTGTGTACACATTTAAAATGTTGCTGTAGGTTGATACTTAAGGGCGTGTAAAAATATGTGAAACATTAATTACCATTAAGTGAAAAATAGATTCAGTATACAATTTTGAAAATTATATCTAGGTATGTATACATAAAGACATTAACAGTAACTTTTACTTCTTTATACTTTTTGTATTGTTTTTTTAAAAAGAATGTGTCTTTTTTTATGATCATAAGAAAATTTTTTTATTTTCAGAGACGAAAAGAGATTTAAAGGAGAAATTGTCTCCTTCCTTACCATTCTAACTCATGAACTTGGTTTGGATATGCCTACTCTTTCTTATAAAAACTTTAAAAAATAAATCAACAAATCCACGTACCATTCTGCTTCATGTTCATGACATTGTTCTAGTAGCTGTAGATATTCAGATACCATTGAGATTTCCATTTAAAAATCAAACTCAGCAGAACATAAGTTGGTTGTTTTTTTAACCCCATTTAAAATAAAATTACATAGGGACATTAAGTGCTTTGTTATATATGTACCACATATGCAACACAGTTAGCATCCTTGGTGCTCATTTGAGAATCCTAATGTAAAAAAAAATTTTTAAACAATTAAAATTGGATGACACACTTGGAAAGAGCTTTCAACATTCTAGTGTGCTGTAGCACTGCTATACTGTTGAGTCATTGTCTTACTGTTTTTTCCTTTTTTTAAAAATCTTGTAATTTTAGGTTCAGGGGTACATGTGAAGGTTTGTTACATAGGTAAACTCCTGTCGTGGGGGTTTGTTGTACAGATTATTTCATCCCAACCTCCACCCTCGAGTAGACCCCAGTGTCTGTTGTTTTCTTCCTTGTGTATAAGTTCTCATCTTTTTTTTTTTATTTTTTGAGACAGAGTTTCGCTCTGTTGCCCATACTGGAGTGTAGAATGTAGTGGTGTAATCTTGGCTCACTGCAACCTTCACCTCCCAGGTTCAAGTGATTCTCCTGCCTCAGCCTCCCGAGTAGCTGGGATTATAGGCACACACCACTGAGCCTGGCTAATTTGTGTATTTTTAGTAGAGATGGGGTTTCACCGTATTGGCCAGGCTGGCCTCAAACTCCTGACCTCAGGTCATCTGCCTCCCTCGGCCTCCCAAAGTGCTGGGATTACAGGCATCAGCCACCGTGCCCAGCCAGGTTTTCATCATTTAGCTCCCACTTATAATTGAGAACATGCAGTATTTGGTTTTCTGTTCCTGTTAGTTTGCTGAGGATAATAGCCTTCAGCTCTATCCATGTTGCTGCAAAAGACATGATCTCATTCTTTTTTATGGCTACATAGTATTCCATGGTGTGTATGTACTGCATTTTCTTTATTCAGTGTGTCATTGATGGAGATTTAGGGTGTTCCATGTCTTGACTATTGTGAATAGTGCTGCAGTTAAAATTTGCATGCATGTGTCTTTATGGTAGAATAATTTATATTCCTCTGGGTATATAACCAGTAATGGGATTGCTGGATAAAATCATAGTTCGCTTTTAGCCCTTTGAGGAATCACTTTCCACAACAATTGAATTAATTTACACTCCCACCAACAGTGTATAAGTAAGTTTTCCCATTTCTCCGCAATTTTGCCAGCATCTATTATTTGTTGACTTTTTAATAATAGTCATTCTGACTGGTGTGGGATAGTATCTCATTGCGGTTTTGATTTGCATTTCTCTTAACGATTGGTGATGTTGAGCTTTTTTTCATATGCTTGTTGGTGGCATGTATGTCTTTTGAAAAGTGTCTGTTCATGTCCTTTGCCCACTTTTTAACAATTTTCTCTTGTAAATTTGTTTAAGTTTCTTACAGATGCTGGATATTAGGCTTTTGTCAGATGCACAGTTTGCAAATATTTTCTCCCATTCTGTAGGATGTCTGTTTACTGTTGACATTTTCTTTTGCTGTGCAGAAGCTCTTTACCTTAATTAGATCCCACCTGTCAATTTTTGCTTCTGTTATGATTGCTTTGGTGTCTTTGTCATGAAATCTTTTACCGTTCCTATGTCCAGGATGGTATTGCCTCGGTTGCCTTCCAGGGTTTTTATAGTTTTGAGTTTTACATGTAAGTCTTTAATCCATCGTGAGTTAATTTTTGTATGTGGTGTAAGGGTCCAGCTTCAGTCTTCTGCATATGGCTAGCCAGTTACCCCAGCACCATTTATTGAATAGGGAGTCTTCCCTTTTGCTTGGTTTTGTCAGCTTTGTCGAAGATCAGATTGTCATAGGTGTGTGGCCTTATTTCCGGTTTGCCCTATTTTAATATACAAACAACAGATACTTTTGTCTTCTAAATAGATTATAACCTACTTATAGTCAAGGTATGTCTTTTGCCATCCTGTAAGTATGTTATTGTTTTGTTTTGTTTTGTTTTGTTTTGTTTTGTTTTGAGACAGTTTTGCCTCATCGCCCAGGCTGGAGTGCAGTGGCACAATCTCGGCTCACTGCAACCTCTGCCTCCCACGTTCAAGCACTTCTCCTGCCTCAGCCTCCTGAGTGGCTGGGATTACAGGTGCGCGCCACCATGCCCAGCTAATTTTTGTATTTTTAGTAGAGATGAGGTTTCACCATGTTGGCCAGGCTGGTCTCAAACTCCTGACCTCAGGTGATTTGCCCACCTCAGCCTCCCAAAGTGCTGGGATTATAGGCATGAGCCACCATGCCTGGCCCATAAGTGTGTTTTTTAAACCTATTAATGCATCATGAAATTAGTGGGTCATAATTGCCATTTAAGTATATATAAATATATTTATATTTATTTAAACTATTACAGTCATCCCTTGGTATATGTGGGGGATTGGTTCTAGGACACCCCCAACTTGTGCCAGTATACCAAAATCCATGTATATACAAGTCCTGTAGACAGTCCTGCAGAACCTGTATGTATGAAAAGTTGGCTGTCTGTATATGCAAGTTTTGCATCCTATAAATACTGTATTTTCTCTCCATGCATTTGGTTGAAAAAAAAGTCATGTATAAGTGTACCCATGCCATTTAGTTCAGAAGTCAACTCTGTGTGTGTGTGTCATATATGTGTAAGTTCGTAGTATGTACTAAGGGTGAATTTTGTTTATGAAACTTCTAGGTAGCACCTAAAATATTTGGAAAGCCCTATCCCAAAATACTTAGGGAAGAACATTAAACTCTCAATTAAGTAGAGGTCAGCTGTCCAGGAAGAAGCCTTGGTTGCCTTAGAATATAGCCAAAAAATCAGAAATTTAACTTAACAGACATTTGAGTTACAAAAGTATATGTTACAGGTGAACATCCTAGTCTCTCCCTCAGAATCCCTTTAGTTTTAGACAGTTATTAAATGTGGCTGTTTTCTTTCCTGATCTATAACAAGTTAGAAAGAGTTAACTAGAAGGAAGAAGAATTCCAAAGATAGACACCATTATAGGAAGAAAATAATTAGCAGTCTGAGAAGAGCAGGGATACTATGAAAGAACTCCTAAGATAGTAGCACAGGTAGGTTGTATAGGGGTGCAGATGCACACTTGTTATATGCCTTTAAGGGTGTAATTTTGAGGCTGTAAAGAGTGAGAAATGCACTAAACTCCTGGGCATCAGGAAAGCCAGGTTTCACATTCGTTCATAACTAACAGTACATTATGGGCCAAGTCGCTTAACCTCTCCCTCTGTCCCAGTTTCCTAATCTGTAAAATGAGGTAGATGTACTAGATGTTCTCAAAGATTCCTTCACATTCAGCAGTTTTCTCATTTCAGTGAATTTACAGGTAAGACTTGTTTATGATTTACAATATAAAAAGATCAGTTAGAACAAACTGGTTAGTTGGTTTACTTTTTAAAGAATAAATGAGAAATTAAAAATGTTGGATGTTTGCATCTTAAAATACTACTTTGTGTTTCTAAGTTTATCTTACTATTTTATTGTAACGATGAATTTACCATTGAAAATATCTATAGAATTTGGCTGCTTATATACTTGGCTTTATTTCTACAGGGATGGGAGACTACTTTAATAGTGCTTAAGGCATTTTCCCATTTGTCTTTTTATTTCTCTTTGAGTGTTCTTTCACTTTTTATGTATTCTAGGTGGTTATCCAAATGCCAACCCAGTCCAGGTTTCAACAGCAACATTTTTTCTTTTCTTCAACGAAGAGTAGAGAATGGAGATCAGCTCTATCAATACTGTTCATTGTTAATAAAAAGTATGCCTCTCAAGCAACAGCTTCAGTGGGATCCTAGCAGTCACAGTTTGCAGGGGTTTATGGACTTTGGTCTTGGAAAACTTGATGCTGATGAAACGCCACTTGCTTCAGAAACTGTTTTGTTAATGGCAGTGGGTATTTTTGGCCATTGGAGAACACCTCTTGGTTATTTTTTTGTAAACAGAGCATCTGGATATTTGCAGGCTCAGCTGCTTCGTCTGACTATTGGTAAACTGAGTGACATAGGAATCACAGTTCTGGCTGTTACATCTGATGCCACAGCACATAGTGTTCAGATGGCAAAAGCATTGGGGATACATATTGATGGAGACGACATGAAATGTACATTTCAGCATCCTTCATCTTCTAGTCAACAGATTGCATACTTCTTTGACTCTTGCCACTTGCTAAGATTAATAAGAAATGCATTTCAGAATTTTCAAAGCATTCAGTTTATTAATGGTATAGCACATTGGCAGCACCTCGTGGAGTTAGTAGCACTGGAGGAACAGGAATTATCAAATATGGAAAGAATACCAAGTACACTTGCAAATTTGAAAAATCATGTACTGAAAGTGAATAGTGCCACCCAACTCTTTAGTGAGAGTGTAGCCAGTGCATTAGAATATTTGTTATCCTTAGACCTGCCACCTTTTCAAAACTGTATTGGTACCATCCATTTTTTACGTTTAATTAACAATCTGTTTGACATCTTTAATAGTAGGAACTGTTATGGAAAGGGACTTAAAGGGCCTCTGTTGCCTGAAACTTACAGTAAAATAAACCACGTGTTAATTGAAGCCAAGACTATTTTTGTTACATTATCTGACACTAGCAATAATCAAATAATTAAAGGTAAGCAAAAACTAGGATTCCTGGGATTTTTGCTCAATGCTGAGAGCTTAAAATGGCTCTACCAAAATTATGTTTTCCCAAAGGTCATGCCTTTTCCTTATCTTCTGACTTACAAATTCAGTCATGATCATCTGGAATTATTTCTAAAGATGCTTAGGCAGGTATTAGTAACAAGTTCTAGCCCTACCTGCATGGCATTCCAGAAAGCTTACTATAATTTGGAGACCAGATACAAATTTCAAGATGAAGTTTTTCTAAGCAAAGTAAGCATCTTTGACATTTCAATTGCTCGAAGGAAAGACTTGGCGCTTTGGACAGTTCAACGTCAGTATGGTGTCAGCGTTACAAAGACTGTCTTTCACGAAGAGGGTATTTGTCAAGACTGGTCTCATTGTTCACTAAGTGAGGCATTACTAGACCTGTCAGATCATAGGCGAAATCTCATCTGTTATGCTGGTTATGTTGCAAACAAGTTATCAGCTCTTTTAACTTGTGAGGACTGCATCACTGCACTGTATGCATCGGATCTCAAAGCCTCTAAAATTGGGTCACTATTATTTGTTAAAAAGAAGAATGGTTTGCATTTTCCTTCAGAAAGTCTGTGTCGGGTCATAAATATTTGTGAGCGAGTTGTAAGAACCCATTCAAGAATGGCAATTTTTGAACTAGTTTCTAAACAAAGGGAATTGTATCTTCAACAGAAAATATTATGTGAGCTTTCTGGGCATATTAATCTTTTTGTAGATGTGAATAAGCATCTCTTTGATGGAGAAGTGTGTGCCATCAATCACTTTGTCAAGTTGCTAAAGGATATAATAATCTGTTTCTTAAATATCAGAGCTAAAAATGTTGCACAGAATCCTTTAAAACATCATTCAGAGAGAACTGATATGAAAACTTTATCAAGGAAACACTGGTCATCTGTACAGGATTATAAATGTTCAAGTTTTGCTAATACCAGTAGTAAATTCAGGCATTTGCTAAGTAACGATGGATATCCATTCAAATGAGAGACCTAAAATATATTAACATTTTAATTAAGAATACTTGATCAACATTTTTTGAAGTTCAATTTACCATATTTTATAAATTGCGCATTCTGCACAGTGGACAAGTTTGCAATTCTGACTTATTAAAATTTCAAATTCTGCATATCACAAAATCTCCTTATACTTTTGGTATGGCTTGCAGCATTTATGAGTTTTCCAAAATATAGAAAGCAGTAGGTCAGTAGGAGCAAACTAGCCAACAGGTACTGTCTTTGAATTTACTACTGTAAGACTAAGCAGTGTTACTGGACACAGTTTTAACTTGTTCAATCTGCTTCAAAAACAAGAAAAACAACAACTATGAGTTATCAAAATATTGACTCCATTTATGACTAGACTACATTTCTGAAAGATCTTTGGTTTATGATTCTTAAGAATATTGACAATACCTATAAAACTTTGAAGATAACTTTTACTTAAATATGAAAATTATAGTTTGAAAATTAGGCTCAAGCAAATATCAAATACTGCAAAAATCCCCTTGTCCCAGGATACCCTAAAATAGAAGTGCTTAAACTTTGTCAGGCAGAAGGTAAAGTACATGAGCCATGAGATTCTTCCTTGTGCTGCAGCCACGCTGGGGAGTGCAATCTGGAAAGAACATACCTAATGTGTTTTTCACCATCCATTATCTCTGAACTTTGAAATATTACTTTTGAATAATAGGCTGGACACTTAGTTTGACTTGAAAGAGCTCAATGCTCATCGGAAAACAGGGAGAAACCTAATCTGAAGATGGAAGCATACTAAGGACAATTTTCTCCACTCACATCCACATTTGAAAAGAGGGACAGAAAAACATAGGTAACTCTACTTTCACAAATGAGGATAGTTTAACGGATAGAAGAAACAAGCACATTATTCACCTGTGTTGTAAAACATCTACTCTTTTTTGTCACTGAATAAGTGTTCCCAAAGTACAGTTAATCCTAATATGAAAACTTAGAATTGTAAAAGATTAATGATAACGTAAAAGTATATTGATTAAAATTCCCCTTACAAAGTATATTTTGATGTTTGTTTATTCTACCTCAAACAGAGGCTTAAGTTTTGAAGTGTAACCAGTTTATACTTCATTTTATACAAAACTTATTGCTGAGAAGTCTGAATATTGTGCTTTTTGTTGTTTGTAAATAGAATTGAATTTAAATACACCAGGATAAATCTTATTTAAAGGAAGCCTGTTTGAAAATCACCAACTTTAACTTATTGCTTATATAAATCCAAGCTCTGTACCTGATCTTTATGTAAAGCAAGATTCATATGTGTAGTATCTAATGCCCTTTGGTGTTACATTTGACTAAAATACAAATGTCTGTATTTTAGTGTTGTGCATTATTCTTTCAAGTGCTAGGTAAATTGGAAAGAGATGGTCGATTGAGACAGTGAATATTCAAAAATTGGAAGGTCACAGATTTCTCTTAGATAAGAATAGTCTCATCACTACATTTAGCCCAGTTAATTGCTCCTGCACTTGTGAAAGGGCTTGGAGTCTTATACCAGATACAATACACTTTACAGTGAAATAAATTATTCATTCATATTTGATTTAGGGCAGTTTGGTTATAATTTTTACTTTGCATCTTGGCCATTTTTTTCTTCAGAGAAAAGCATTCCCTTTAAAAATTTATCCTGCTTTCCAACAACTAGTGCTAGGAGAGATGGATATCCACATGCAAAAAAATTCACTCAAAATGAAGCAAACACCTAAATAGAAGAGGTAAGGCTATACAACTTTTAGAAAATATAGAGTTAATCTTTGAGGTTTGGATTAGGTGGTGGTTTTTCTTTTTTTCTTTCTTTCTTTTTTTTTTTGAGACAGAGTCTCGCTCTGTTGCCCAGGCTAGAGTGCAGTGGTGTGATCTTGGGTCACCACAACCTGCACCTCCTGGGTTCAAGCGATTCTCCTGCCTCAGCCTCTCGAGTAGCTGGGACTACAGGCACGCACCACCATGCCTGGCTAATTTTTGTATTTTTAGTAGAGACAGGATTTCACTGTGTTGGCCAGGCCAGTCTGGAACTCCTGACCTCATGATGCACCCGCCTCGGCCTCCAAAGTGCTGGGATTACAGGTGTGAGCCACTGTGCCTGGCCAGGTGGTGGTTTCTTAAGACACTTAAAGCACAGCAAAGGAAAATAATTGGACTTCATCAAAATTAACTTGTGCTTTGAAGGGATACCATCAAGAAAGTGAAAGACAACCCATTGAATGGAAAAAAATGTTTGCAAATCATTTATCTAATTAAGTTATTATATGTAGAATCTACAAAGAATTCCTATAACTCAATAATAAAACGACAAATAACCAAAATTTTTAAATGGGTAAAGAATATGAATAGACTTTTCTCCAAATGAGTTATACAGAAGGCCATAAAATACATAAATATATGTTCACGTCAGCTCTCCAGAAAATGCCAATCAATGACAATGAAACATCACATCACACCTGTTAGGACAGCTATTATAAAGAAGACATGGAGGCCGGGCACGGTGGCTCATGCCTGTAATCCCTGCACTTTGCGAGGCCGAGGCGGGTGGATCACCTGAGGTCAGGAGTTTGAGATCAGCCTGGCAACATGAGGAAACCCCGTCTCTACTAAAAATACAAAAAATTAGCTGGGTGTGGTTGCACGTGCCTGTAATCCAGCTACTCAGGAGGCTGAGGCAGGAGAATCGCTTGAACCCGGGAGGCGGAGGTTGCAGTGAGCTGAGATCTTGCCACTGCATTCCAGCCTGGGCAACAGGAGCAAAATTCCGTCTCAAAAAAAAATAAATAAGACATGGCCAGGCACAGTAGTTCATGCCTCAACTCCCAGCATTTTGGGAAGCCGAGGCAGGAGGATTGCTTCAACCCAGGAGTTCAAAACAAGCCTGGATAATAAACAGTGAGACCCCCCCATCTCTGAAAGAAAAAAAAGGAAAGACATAGTATTGGCAAGAATGTGGAGAAATTAGAACCCTCATACACTTTTGTTGGTGAGAATGTAAAATAGTCCAGCTAGTGCAGCAGCTTTGGAAAATAGCCTGGCAGTTCCTCAAAAGCTTAGAGTTACCTATGACCTAGCAAATTGTACTCCTAGGCATATACCCAAGAGAAATGAAAATGTCCACACAAAAATGTGTACATGAACTTCATTGATAATAGCCAAAAAGTGGAGAAAAAGCCTAAATGTCCATTGACTGATTAATGAAAACAAAAAAATGTGCTATAACCACAAGATGGGTATGTTTAACCTTATAACAAACTGCCAAAACTTCCAAAGTGACTATTGTTTTGCATTCTGGCCAGCAATATATCAATGTTCCCGTTGCTGTACTTCTTTCTTAGCACTTGGTATTGTCAGGATTTTGGTCTTTTTTCAAGTAGCCATTCTAAGAGGTGTCTAGTGCTATTTCATTGTAGTTTACACTTGCATTTTCCTAATAACCAATGATGTGGAGCACCTTTTCATATGCTTATTTGCCATCGTGTATCTTCTTAGGTGAAATGTCTGTTCAAGTCTTTTGTTCATATTTTGGAAGATTGGCTCTTTTCTTACTGAGCATTAGTTACATATTCTGGATATAAGTGCATTATCAGATGTGTTTTGCAATTATGTTTTTCTCAGTCTGTGGCTTTTTTTATTAACTGTCTTTTGAAAAGCAGATGTTAATTAATTTTGATAAGTCCAGTTTTTCTATTTTTTTCTTTCTGGGATGTAAGCTGTGATTCATTCTCAGTTAACTTTGGTATATGAGTTGAGGTCCTTTTTTTTTTTTTTTTTTTTTTTTTTTTTTTTTTTTTTTGAGACTGAGTCTCGCTCTTTTGCTCAGGCTGGAGAGTGCAGTGACACAATCTTGGCTCACTGCAACTCCACCTCCCGGGTTCCAGTGATTCCTTTGCCTCCTGAGTAGCTGACTACAAGTGTGTGCTACCACGCACGACTAATTTTTGTGTTTTTAGTAGTTAGGGTTTTGCCTTGTTGGCCAGGATGGTCTGAACTCCTGACCTTAAGTGATCCACCCGCCTCAGCCTTCCAAAGTGCTGGGATTACAGGAATGAGCCACCACACCCAGCCATGAAGTTCATATTTTTACATATGGATATGCCAGCCCCATTTGTTTAAAAAACTATCCCCATTGAACTACTTTCATACAATGATAAAAAACCAACTATATATATGGGGTCTCTATTGTCTTCCACTGATAAATAGGATCTATCCACTACCAGTCTTAATTACTCTAGTTTTATCTGTCTTGAAATTAGGTGGGAGTTCTCCAACTTTGTTCTTTTTTCAAAAATGTTTTGGCTGTTCTGGTTGCCCCTTTCCATATAAGTTTTATCATCAGCTTGTTGATTTCTATAAAAATTCCTGCTGGGATTTTGACTGAAGTTGTGTTGAATCTATAGATCAATGTGGAGACAATTGACATCTTAATAATATAGAATCTTCTAATCCATGAAACATGGGCTATCTTCTTTTTTTTAGGTTCTTTGATTTTATCAGTTTTTTACTTTTCAGCACAGATCTTACATATCTTTGTTAGATTTCATGTTTTCTGAAATCTGTAAGTGGTGATTTAAAAATCTCAGTTTCTAAACATTCATTGCTACTACATAGAAGTACAGTCAACTTTTGCATACTAATTTTGCTAAATTCAGTTATTCTAGTAGTTTTGAGATTCTTTGATTTTTCTATGTAGGCATTCATATCATCAAGTAGTCTTATTTATTTATTTCCAATCTGTGGGCCTTTTTCCCACCTGCCTTATTGCACAGTGAGCTACATTGTTGAATAAGAATGCCTTGCTCCCAGTCTTAAAGGAAAGCATTCTTCACTATGTGTATGTTAGCTGTAGGCTTTTTTTGTAAATGGTCTTTATCAGGTTTAGTCTTAGTTCTCTGAAGACTTTATTTTTTTGTTTATTGAATCATATGTGGCTGAATTTTACCAGATATGTTTTTCTGCACCTTTTGGGTAAAAAAATTTCTGAGATAAAATTCACATAACCATAATATTTACCCTCTTAAATAAGCATATAGTGGCCGGGCGCGGTGGCTCACGCCTGTAATCCCAGCACTTTGGGAGGCCAAGGCGGGTGGATCACCTGAGGTCAGGAGTTGGAGACTAGCTTGACCAATGTGGTGAAACCCCATCACTACTAAAAATACAAAATTAGCCAGGCTTGGTGGCGCATGCCTGTAACCCCAGCTACTCGGGAGACTGAGACATGAGAATTGCTTGAACCAGGAGGCAGAGGGTGCAGTGAGCTGAGATCGCACCACTGCACTCTAGCCTGGGCAACAGAGTGAGACTCCATCTCAAGAAACAAACAAGAAAATATAATTTAGCAGTTTTACCTATATCCACAGTCATTTTCTGCAACTTTTGAGATGATCATTTAGCTTTTCTTATTTGTATGCTGATACAGTGAACTATGTTTTTTTTAAAACATTGGATCAACTTTTATTCCCAGGATAAACCCTACTTGGTCATGATGTATTCTTTTTATAATACTATGACCAGATTTCATATGCCAGTATGATAGATGACAGTTTTATAAAGTCCCAGTGACCTTATAATAAACATAACCCTAAACATACTTGTTTTCTTATTGCTTTTGAATAGAAACTGAGTGTCTTAAATGCTGTCACAAAATTTGCCATTTAGAAGGAAATTTTTAATTAAAAAAAACCTTATAGCTTTCAACTCATAAAATCACATGGATTAAAAAAAAAAGCTCACCTTTGGTATACAGATAATGACAAAATGTGCATTCAAGAAGCCCTAACAAGAAAAGCCTGAAGTAATTTACATGATGAAAATAACTCCAATAGAAAGGGATTTTTAGTTGATTGCCTTCCCTTCTGCTTTGGGTAGCCACACCAGAATTCCTATATAAAATGCTTAAGAGATACAACATGATCAAAGTTATGGCCGGAGGTCCTGCTGTGAAGCTTCATTTACATAACAAGTATTCATTTTCTTAACTATTTGTGTTACAGAACAATAAAAATAGATAACTTTTCTAAAATTATTTTTATTCACATTTTACATAAGATTGAAAAAATGTCAGTTGTTCACTACCAGAAAATGGGGAACTAATCACTCTGTTTGCTTTTGTACCTGTAACATTAAGGTTCTGTTTCCCAGACCCCAGAGATAAGACCTACAGGTTGTGTTTAGTGCTTCAGAAAAAAAGGAAACTAAGAAAGATAGCTATCATAAGAACATTTCACATTAAAAGACAGAGTAGATTGATTTTCTAGGTATTTTTGTTTTTGAGACAAGGTCTCACTCTGATTGCCAGGCTGGAGTGCAGTGGTGTAATTTTGACTCACTACAGCCTCAACCTCTGCAGGCTCAGGCCTTCAAAGTAGCGAGGACTGCAGGTGTGCGCCACCACACGCAGTGAATTTTTTTATATTTTTAGTAGAGACAGGGTTTCACCATGTAGCCTGGGCTGGTCTAGAACTCCTGGACTCAAGTGATTCACCCGCCTTGACCTCCCAAAGTGCTGGAATTACAGGCGTGAGCCACCATGCCCGGCTGAGTTTCTGCTCTTAAAAGAAACAGTGGGGAAAAAAAGAGAAGACATATTCTCATTTCAAAGCAATTTATGTTAGTAATAACTGAGCAAAATGATAGAATTTTTTAGTTGTGTGTTTTCAGAAGTAATGTCAAATTTACTTCAGATAATTTAAAAGGTTTTTTGCATATTAAATGGTTAATAAAGTGGTGTTATTATACTAAAGAAAAAATGCAAAACCTTTTTTACAGAATAGTATAAATGTTTATTTTCTGTATGATTTACTTTGCTGTCCTGTTTTTACAATATAGAAAAGTGTATTCTTTGAATAGCTCTAGTAAATATAAATTTAATCTTTCTACTTTGGGATGTAAATAGAGCTAAAAAATTATATACCCAACCCTCCCCAAATAGTCTTTTAAAATCATTGAATTAATGTGGCTATTCATCTTGTTCAGCAATTTGATGCAAATGCCTGAATACAAAAAGTTATTTAGTAAGTACTACACAGGAAGGAAAAGGCTTAATATTTTAGATAGATAGATTTTTGAAAATCAGAAAAACTAGTAGCATTTGATTGCACCTTGAAATTTTTTTACAAGCAAAACATTCGTAAGCAATGCCATCATACATAATCTACAATTGTAATCAAAATTTCACGAACATTTTCTGCACACTGTATATAAATACACATCACAAAGGTGCAATTAGAATTAACACAGAGTATGTACAAAATGAACAAAGTTTAAGTTTAGACCAAAAACTTATTGCAATCTTTTGAAAAATAACTTGATTATTATTTTACCCTCTTACACTAATTTACATTTATACAAATTTTAATTAAACATACTAGATTGAGGTGCTAAGAATGTTTGAACTATCTACATTTAAAGTTACTGCACTATGATTTTATAAATCCAAATTTAAAAGGAAGATACTTTAGTGAATAACGGAATCCTCTTTTGGATTACTTAATTTCTATTGCCTATATCTTGCATGTTCATATGAACATATATACACACTTAATACATACAACTATAGAGTCCTTGTAGGAAATGAAATAATCATATACTAATTACTGATGATTAAGGTACCTAACAAAATGCCTGAATTCCAACATGGTTTTTTCTTGTCATAAAATCAAGAGTCCTGTCACAACAGGCTCTTAAATTCATAGAGTTTTTGAATACTGAAAATGATTTAGGTTATTTTAGTAATTATAGGAAAACAGACCTTCCAAATCACTGGCTGAAAATAATGCCATATTAAACTTCCCTTATAAAAAGAAATCCCACCACAATTTTGAAAATTTTGTTAGGAGGCCCATTTCTGTAAATCAAGTAAGAGTTGCGATTTGGTTTGAAACCTCTTAGTTCAAAAGTCTATAAAAAGGGCCTGGCACGGCGGCTTATGCCTGTAATCCCAGCACTTTGGGAGGCCGAGGCGGGCGAATCACGAGGTCAGGAGATCGAGACCATCCTGGCTAACACGGTGAAACCCCGTCTCTACTAAAAATACAAAAAATGAGCCGGGCATGGTGGCATGCACCTGTAGTCCCAGCTACACGGGAGGCTGAGGCAGGAGAATCGCTTGAACCTGGGAGGCAGAGGCGTTGCAGTGAGCTGAGATCTCACCATTGCACTCCAGCCTGGGCTACACAGCGAGACTCCGTCTCAAAAAAAAAAAAAAAAAAGTCTGTAAAAATAATTGATTGTATAGATGAAAACTTCTCTAAATTCATCTTTTGCAGCTTCCCTATTCTTTGTTTCTCCACCCATGCCAAATTTTATACTTGATTACTATGTGAGGTTCTATATTATCACTACATAATGTTTACTTCCATTTATATCCACCTATCATTTTAATAGTACCCAGTAATCACTTTGACAATTTATTACTTCAAATACATACCACCTCTTTGAAAGAAAATGGAGACAGCCCAGAGCATCTGTTAGCCTTTCCTTATTATAGAAACACATTGCCCATCCTCTGAGATTTACTGTCCTTTAATATTTTATATGTTTTTTTAAATAACTTTAAAAAATTTTTAGTGTGCCTGGGGATTGTTTCCCCTTCTGACATTCCCAAAGTGACAACAGGATATTATTCCAGAATCGGCCCTAAAAGGCTGCTTTTTCTTTAAAAGATAGTCCTTTTCTAAATACAAAATGTCATTTGAATGTGTTTCATAAGAATTTGTTTATGTAACATTCTGTCTGCAGATATTCTAGATCAAGTCCCAAAGAATGGGTGCTAACCACTGCTGCTTTGGCTTTTCTATTAACAAAGTCATACAACACCATACATTATAAATTATATGAATTTATAAACATTTTTTGTCAAAGGTATCAGAAAGAGAACATCTAATTCTTAAGAAACCCAAGCAAATTAAAAAATCTATATAATAAAGAAAAATTCAATTTAGAAGGGGCATAAGCAGATTTAACTAAGATTTAAAATGTACTAATTTCCTCATTTAAAATTTCTTCTCCTTCAGTATTATAATTTCAGGTCTTTTAAAACAAGGACTGAATTAAAATACAGTAATTGTTTTTCTTCCAGAAAATCAAGTGTCCCTGCACCTTAAATTTTCTGTACAGTTCCATTTATCAGTCTTTTGTGCAAGAGTTAGCAATTCATGGCACAAGGGTCACTTTTTGCCTTTCCTGCAGAGTTGATGACACTCATCAAACATCGTCCGAATTCCTCAAGTATCATCCGTTCCGCTGCTGCCTTTGATTTTCCCTTCTTGTCTGCCTGCTCTGCCTGGGCAAGGAGGCAATTACATGTGGCTTCAGCTACTTCCTTAGTTACAAATGTAAATGGCAATCTGAAATGATTTTTGAAAGAGAAAGATGATGGTGGTGTTAAATAACAACAAAAGTGGATAACATTCTTTCATCTGGAAATCTCTACTGACACTTTCACAATTCACCAGCAGGATGAGCATCACAATTTACACAGTGAGCACAAGCACATCCTAAAAAGGGCTTTAAAAAGTTAAATTTGGTTTTATTCACATATTGTAAGAATATTGTTCAGGAAATTTAACATAAAACACGTTACTTATTACCTAGGCAAGGTTATGTGGTTAACTAAAAGATAATAGTCTACACGAAGACTAGAATTTCTTTAACTAAAATCCTCCTAAATCATGAATGTACGCTCTGTAAGTTCAATTCTTATTTACTGCTGTTGCTCCAGTGCCTAGAATAGTGCATGACATAGAGACGCTACATGAATAGTTGCTGAATGAATGAATAATACTGGGAATTGACAGCACTATCTCTTCGGCAAAATGAAAAATAAAGCACTTTACCATAGTCACTGATACTGTTTGTAGAAAACATTCCAAAATTCTGCATCGTTCTAGCACAACAAAACAAAATGGCGAAACCAAATGTTCTGTACACAGAGTTGCATTCATAAAGACCTGAGCTATTGAGTATTAAATTGGAGCAACCCATCGTGAGGCTTGCTATATTTGCAGCCAACTCAAGTCTTAAAGCCTGTGACAGATTAAGTCAAGCAACATAATCTAAACCACTAACTCAACAACCTGTGAGTAAGCGGTCACTAACAGAAGTATACTAAATAATGAAGTCTGAAATTAAAGCTCACTATGGCAAGAGAGGGTAATTGAGAATTCAGGCTGCCATGCAGCTGTATAGGAATCTTTAACATACAAACAAGCACTTTAAACTAGAAAATATTAATTTAAGGTTTTGGTCACTTGAAACAAGCTTGTTAACATGCTAGCATAACTTTTTTTATACAAGTTTTTAATATGTAATTTTGATTATAATTATAATTTTATAATTTTGTTTTCATATTGTTAACATCTTCCCAATTTTAAAAATTAATTATAAATATTTTACTGTAGCAGTATCTTTAATCTCCATGTGGAGATTAGATTCAATACTCTAAAGACCAGAAAGAATCCCAGGTTATAAGTCTTATTAAGGTGCCTGACCACTTCCACTTTATTCAGTCAAAAACCATTTGCTGTTTATATTCCAGTCAAGAGTTCTTTAGAACTAATATCTTAAGGCCAGGCATGGTAGCTCATGCCTGTAATCCCAGCACTTTGGGAGACTGAGATGGGCAGATCACCTGAGGTCAGGCGTTCAAGACCAGGCTGGCCAACATAGTGAGACCTCATCTCTACCAAAAATACATAAATTTAGCTGGGCGTCGTGGTGTATGCCTGTAATCCCAGCTACTTAGGAGGCTGAGGCAGGAGAATTGCTTAAACCCAGGAGGCGGAGATTGCAGTGAGCTGAGATCATGACACTGCACACCAGCCTGGGCAACAGAGTGAGACTCTATCTCAAAAAGAAAACAAAACAAAAAACCAAAACTAATATCTTAAATATTTTGTACAAAAAAGCCTTATTTTTATAAGCACTGGATCTCATTTTCAGTTTAGGCATTTTATTTTTGAGACGGAGTTTGCTCTTGTTGCCCAAGCTGGAGTGCAATTGCGTGATCTTGGCTCACTGCAACCTCTGCCTCCCAGGCTCAAGCGATTCTCCTGCGTCAGCCTCCCAAGTAGCTGGGATTACAGGCGCACACCACCATGCCCAGCTAATTTTTTGTATTTTTAGTAGAGATGGGGTTTCACCATGTTGGCCAGGCTAGTCTCAAACTCCTGACCTCAGGTGATCTGCCCACCTTGGCCTCCCAAAGTGCTGGGATTATAGGCGTGAGCCACTGTGCCTGGCCTACTTAGGCATTTTAAATAATATGCCATTTGCAAGGCTCATTCCATTTAATAATTCCTCAGATTAACCTCTAACAAACTTTCTAATACCAGTCCAGTCCAGTCCAAATCACAAACTATGTTTTATCAGGTCTTGACAAACACTGGAGATATTATAGACATGCCTTATTCCTCACAGCCACCTGGTATAGGCTATTTTAAGGATAAGAAAACTGAGGCTCAAAGAGATTCACAAACTACTAAGTAGCACAGATAGTATAAACTCAAGTCTACCTGACTTTAGAGGTCAGGCTTTTCTACTCCAGAGCTCAGCAGATGAAAGAGATAACAATACGGAGCTGCACTATTACAGTGTGATGGGTGGTCCAATAGGATGGGAAAAGTGCTCCAAGAAATGGAAAAGGCAAGAGAAGGTAGGAAAATGCAAAAACATAATTACACGTTCAGCGAGACATATGAACATCTGCTTTTCTTTGGGGTTCCTCAAATTACATAATTACCTCATCTTAGTAGACAGAAATTAAGCACAGTGGACTAAATCATTACTGTGCATTTTCGAACTGCACAATAATCTGACAGTGGTTTCTGTTACCTTTAAATTCCTTTACAAGTAACTAAAGATGGAAAGAAAACACAAAAATCAGGTTTGCAACAACCAAAAATATAAACTCAACTTTGCCCCCTGAAAAGAAACTTTACCAAAAGTATTTGGGAAGTACTATAAAAAGATTAAAATACTGACTTACTTTCCGCCTCCACTATTTAAAGCTGGTGTTGGCCTAGTAAGCAAGTCTGAAATTTGAGAGGATAACTTCGTCTTGGCTGCTGTTTGTTGCTGTACCCTTACTTCAGCTGCATCTGCCAAATGCATCAATGTCTTCCTTTCCGGGCTTTCTTCAAAATTCTTACAGCCAATACATTTGCATATTGAGGAACACATTATTTTTGCCTAAAAGATTTACATAAGAAAAGTTTCCAAATCAAAACCAAAATACATTACTATAAGTAGATGCCACAATCAAATCAACAGCTAATAGCATTACCTGGTCAACTGATAATAAGATTAGATGGAAGTATCTCTGGCTGACAAACAGTAACTACACATGTGGCTAGCTAGGTTAGGTATTCTTAAGTCTGACAGTGGCTGTACAACGTTTGTGGCTGTGTCCTTCCATGTCAGTTTTCCCCCACTATGAATATAGATTTTCTTCAGATATGAGTTACACATGTTTTTCATAAACATGAATGATATCCTAAAATATCAAAAATAAAGGTCATCCAGAATCCAGCCACCTCAATCAAATCATCATTAACATATAGATGACCTCCCATTTATGCATATGTATACAATTTCACATTAAAGGGATTTCACAGATGCCATTTTTATTATTCTATTATGCTATTTTTAATCTGAAGAGGGAGTTCGGGAGGGACTTCAGATTCCCCAAACCCTTCAATAACCCATATGAAACTAGTGTGTATTTTACATTTCATATAAATATATATTTTCATGTAAAAATATGTCAAATGTAAGTATATATAAAATCCTAGACCTTATGTATATACAAATATAGAACTTTCATTTTTTAGTTTTTCAAAATCATATTATCTGCTTTTCTGCATCTTGCTTTTCTTACAACTCATGGAATCCCTCCAAAGTCATCTGGCATAGCTTGAATTCATTCTATTTAACAGCTAGGTGTAAATCCCTGGTATGATGTGTCAATTTTATTGGGCATTCATTTCCCTATTGATGGGTGTTTATTTTTGTTTCCAGTTCTTGGGTACCACAAATGATGCATAAAAAGACTTTTTTGTTATACATTATGCCTTTTTATTTCTCTGAGTTAGATTTCTAGAATTGGGCTCACTGGTTAACAGGTCTGTGTATTTTAATTTTTTTTTTTTTTTTTTTTGAGATGGAGTCTCGCTCTGTCTCCCAGGCTGGAGTGCAGTGGCGCGATCTCAGCTCACTGCAAGCTCCGCCTCCCAGGTTCACGCCATTCTCTTGCCTCAGCCTCCCGAGTAGCTGGGACTACAGGCACCCGCCACCACGCCCGGCTAATTTTTTTTGTATTTTTAGTAGAGACGGGGTTTCACCGTGTTAGCCAGGATGGTCCCGACCTCCTGACCTCGTGATTCACCCGCCTCGGCCTCCCAAAGTGCTGGGATTACAGATGTGAGCCACCGCGCCTGGCCTGTGTATTTGAATTTTAAGAGATGTAGCCAGATTGCTTTTTCAAAAGGCTGTAATACCTCACATCTCATCAGCAATGTGTAAAGGAAGGCTTTCCCACATTCCCTCCAACAATGAATATTATAATTCCTTTTAACATTTTATGCCAGGCGCGGTGGCTCACGCCTGAAATCCCAGCACTTTGGGAGGCCGAGGTGGGAGGATCACCTGAGGTCCGGAGTTCAAGACCAGCCTGACCAACATGGAGAAACCCCATCTCTCTTTAAAAAAAAAAAAAAAAAATTAGCCAGGCATGGTGGCACATGCCTGTAATCTCAGCTACTCGAGAGGCTGAGGCAGGAGAATCGCTTGAACCCGGGAGGCGGAGGTTGCAGTGAGCCGCGATCACGCGATTGCACTCCAGCCTAGGCAATAAGAATGAAACACCATCTCAAAAAAATATATATATATATAATCTGATGGTGGGGATGATAAAGTGAGATTTCACTGTTCTTTAATGTATATTTCCCTGATTTCTAACGAATTTGAGTATGTTTTTGTTAGCTGTGTTTTCTTCAATGAACCCATGTCTATATAAATAAATAAAACTGTCCTTTCTCTCTATAGCACCTAGCAAGATAAACGGGCTGCATTATAAACACATTTACTCTGCTCCTTTCTTATAAGACACCAATAAATTCCACTTACCAAAGGAAAAAATGGATGTAAGTTTGTGTTAACTGGGTTACTGTGAGCCTGAATGGGAATCTAACTAAAGCAATACTTAATAAGCATCTAGTGATGACGAGAGAAAATTCCTGACCTCAGAGTGGGGAAAACATACCAATAATGGTAATTTAGATTTTATATATATATATATATTTGTTTTTTAAAAATTATCTTTATATTTTAAGAACCATAGGAAAGACATTAATAGTGTCTAACCGGAGCTCAGATGGAGAAATTACAATGACATTTAGCTTGGCGAATTTAACTTCCCCTATACCAAAAAAAAAAAAGATGTGGAGGGGAGGAAAATGGTCACAAGAAAAGACACAGCCATGAAATAAGGTGGGTAGCCATTCATCCAATCAACAAGCCTATAGGCATTGAAAGGACACATGAATGTGTTGTCCAGATGCAAACCAACAGGATTAAAAAGCCAATTCAGCTGAAGAACAAGGTGTCAAAAGAACAGTTCAACACAAAATGTCAGATAAGCCCACAGCTAATTTACAGCCAACTAGCCACTGCTATTCATAGTTTAGTATATTCTAAGTTTCTCCATTTTTTGGTACATAACTTTTGGAATGATAAATTTGTTACTAGACAGTGTATCTGTCCCGACAAAATTTCATTAGAATAGGTAGGGTAGGGCTGTCTCTTCTAACACTTTTAAACCAGTCCAGTACCTTTTCTACTTCTATTAATTCACAGGTTGTTAACCAGTTCAATTAAATGGTTAGTTCCTATATGTCTGAATTTCATATGCCCAGCATGTATTGATTTTTCAATGCCATATACATGAAAGGGTCGCTTTACCCTTCTGATCCAACTTTACATAAATTTCCATGTTCTGAAAAGAAGTGTTAATTTTTACATATTCGTGACAATTTTTGTATGATATGGCTTCTAAACGCAAGCCGGCTATTTCATCAGGTATTCAAAAGAAGAAAGACTAAA
Source organism: Homo sapiens (assembly GCF_000001405.40). NCBI lineage: Eukaryota > Metazoa > Chordata > Mammalia > Primates > Hominidae > Homo > Homo sapiens. The sequence goes on from NC_000004.12 coordinate 82,934,056, forward strand.
AAAGATTCCAACACTGGATGAAAACTGGCTTGTTGGATTTTGAGATGTTAAGACAGTTTAAAAAATCAACTTGCGACGGTGGCTCATGCCTGTAATCCCAACATTTTGGGAGGCTGATGGGTGGGCGGATCACTTGAGTTTGAGAGCAACCGGGCCAACGTGGTGAAACCCTGTCTCTACTAAAAACAAAAAATACAAAAATTACCTGGGCATGGTGGCAGGTGCCTGTAATCCCACCTACTTGGGAAGCTGAGGCAGGAGAATCGCTTGAACCCAGGAGACGGATATTACAGTGAGCCAAGATCGCACCACTGCACTCCAGCCTGGGCGACAGGGCGAGACTCCGTCTCAAAAACAAAATAACAACAACAACAACAACAAAAAACTTGTCTCTTTATGCAATTTTCATTCATATCATCTGCAGAACTCACAAGATGTTACTCTCCTATTCCCTATTCTACTTTACTTCCTGAGAGGAGTATTTGACTTTGTAAATAAGTAGATTAGGAAAGAATTCATTACACAGAGAATGCAATACACAAAATCTTTCATATGACACATGCTGTATGGGAGAGGGCACTGAACTGGAGGACATGCTCCTGTGGCAGGGCAAACCTTCAGCAAGTGCAAAGCTAGGCTTTCTGCCAATAAATAAATAAACTAATTAATTAATTAATTCTCTGAGAATAAGAAAGAATGAAAATATATGAGAGTATGAGAAGAGCCAAGAAGAGGAATAACTCAACCACCCAAAAGACTGTCAGTAAAGAGTTTCAGGCATACCAAGAAACCAATTATGGTAATCTAGGGTTAATCTCAATCACTAGATTGTTACACATAAGCTTCTAAAATAAAACTATATAGTACTGTGTCTAAAGCAAGAAGGGGAAGATTTATATGGCATTTGTCAGAGCAGAGTTTCAACTACATCTTCCAGAGAAGACGCCTGACCCATAAGTAAAAATAACCAGCTCAGTGGAACAACAAAACAGTGAAAATGGAGACAATTGCCTACCGTGACCAGTAACCTCATCCAGCAGAATGCCAGATCCCCCTTTCCTATTTTTATGCTCACAAAGCAAACTTAACATACTTTGGTTTTCCGCAGAGCAGTGTGCTCTTTGAGTGGGCATAACCAGCATTTTGGTCAAGATAATCCTTTAATTTCCAGACTGTACCTTGGGATGCAGGCTATTTTGTATCCATATATATATATATATTTATATATTTATAATATATATTTATATATTTGAGACAGAGTCTTGCTCTGTTGCCCAAGCTGGAGTGCAGTGCCATGATCTCGGCTCACTGCAATCTCCACCTCCTGGGTTCAAGCGATTCTCGTGCCTCAGCCTCCCGAGTAGCTGGGATTACAGGCACCTGCCACCATGCCCGGCTAATTTTTGTATTTTAGTACAGACGGGGTTTCACCATGTTGACCAGGCAGGTCTCGAACTCCTGACCTCAAGTGATCTGCCCGCCTCTGCCTCCCAAAGTGCTGGGATTACAGGTGTGAGCCACCGCACCCGGCCATATATTTCTAAGAAGCCTGTGAAGAACAGTAAGTAGAACTGCACCTCAGGTGAGAATCACTGCTGGAGAGTTTCCAATCCACTTTGATATTATTTTTATTGAAAATCAATATATTGGTGTTCTGATCTGCATACTTTCTGAGCATAATGACCAAGAAGTTATGGTAAATCACCCAGTAAGACCCCAAGCTGTAATAATAAACCCAAGGTATTCCTCCGAAGCCCTGCTACAGAGGCTCGAAGGCCTTCCTAAAACAAGGGCCTTTGCACCAACTGTGCATATTTTCAAATTGCAATAGCAAGGTGATTTCCCAATTTTCAAGTAAATTTTTGTAGTAGGTCCTTTCTAAAACTGTTTTTAAAAGATATTATTTTCCGCACCCAGCATCTCACCTCATAGCATTCACAGTAGTTTTTAAGACATCCTGATCGTTTGCAATTACACCCTTTGCTATGACGTCGATCAGATTCTCCCTCCTTTCCTTTCCCTATCTTAGGCTTAAAGGCTTCTGGATTTCTGTCAAGGCATGCCTAGCAAAACAGATCAAATATCAGTTAGAGTTAAATCACAGTAGATGAAATTTAAACACTGCAAAAGGAATTGATAACGTTTCTTTGCAAGACAATTGAGTTTTATAAAACTGATGAAACTGGATATTTCTGTCAGTTAAATGAAATAAAAAATAATCACCTTTATTGCTTTTTGCCTTTCATTTTCATGTTCCAAATTGTTGTAACAATTAGTACAATTGCAGTTGTTGCAAAATTCACCATTTGCAAAGCAATCACAATACCTGAAAGGTAAAAGTCAGTATAAGGTAAAAAGTCATTATTAAGGAAAACTAATTATCTGATTATGCATACATTGTATATATATTGTACACATACTACATATGTGGTAAAGCATCTCAGAAATCTACTCAGCTACCCAGTTAAAGAGTTAACAACACATATTGTCAACCACATACTAAGGCTCAAAGTTTAAATCACCAAGTACTAGAAATGTGGCCTAAAAACTTAGTCCAACCAATAACAGCTGTCACACAAGAGCTGTCACACATATAAATTATATAAATTATATGTCACACATATAAATTTTATGTGCCCCCAAAGTAAGGCATTTCAAAATTCTGAAAAAGGAAAAACACTAGCTATATTCTAATAGTTGAACTGGCTCATCTGAGTTATAGTAATAGTACTTTGGATTCTATGCCCCAATAAGACCAATGCTTTTCATTTAACTATTTCATGTCAAGTCTTTTTAATGCTAATAAGCAAATTAACCATTCAGTGACTTTTAAAACTACCTAGAGTATCATCACTTAGGAGACCAAATACAAAAGTCATAAATAAGATCAAACATTATTATTAAGGGCAGAAGCTATGTCTGTCTCATGCTGCTATGTCCCTAACCCCTACTCCAGTGATTCATGTATGGTAAGGACTCTAAATATTTCTTTCTAGATGAATGAAATAATATTTTTACACTGCCATATATGTTCAAACATTCATTTGTATGTTTATTTAAATTACTTAGACTTATGAGCTTTGGTCTGCTAAAAATTTTTAGTTAACTCCATTTACTTTTAAGTGCATTTCTAATTACATTAAATAAGCAAACAGTTGCAAAAACACTTACAATTTCAAACACAGTGATTTTGTACAATTACAGGGCTTTCGGGGCCGACTGGCCGACTCTGATGGGATTATGCTGTACAGATAGAAAAAAAGATATACATTTAATCAATTAATAGTAACTAAAATTAATTTAGTTGCTACAACTAATTTAAAATTTAAAAAATTAGACCTAAAACTAATTTAAAATTAGAGAAGTCTCCAATCTATAAATCCCTCCAGAAATAAAGCTTTAACCAATGTTAAATGTGTCCATCTAAAATAAAAAGTTTGCTACGTTGTTCTATTTACACTAGGTTCAAAGGCAAGTTGTAACATGAAAGAGGTAGAGACAAGTATGGAATAATTTTTTTAAAAGAAGTTATCAATAGCTGCTAAAGAACACTCCACAAACACTGTCCCTTCTAAGAAAACAAAAGTTGAGATTGCCTCAAAACTCTTGGGATTCAATTATAAAAAGCAGTGAGGAAAAGGAGTGTGTGGAGGAGGAAATGGAAGTGGGATGTGGACTGATTCCGGGTAATTAAGCACGGCTTCTAAGCTGATATTGCAAAAGCCAGTAATTAATAGATAAACAAATAAACATCAACAAAAAATGAGGACCTCACATAATTTTAAAAATAGTTGGGCAGGTGCAGTGGCTTAAGCCTGGAATCCCAGCACTCTGGGAGACTGAGCCAGGAGGATCACTTGAGCCCAGGAGGTGGAGATTAGCCTGGGCAATATAGTGAGACCGCATCTCTACAAAAAAATTTAAAAATTAGGAGAGCATGGTGGCATGTGCATAGAGTTCCAGCTACTCAGGAGGCTGAGGCAGGAGGATTGCTTGAGCCTGGGAGGTTGCAGTGAGCTGAGATCACAGCACTGCACTCCAGCCTGGGCAACAGAGCAAGACCTTGTCTTGAAAAATAAAGATAAAAAATAGTTAGCATCATCATTTTGGAAACATACTCAGAATGAAAGAGAATAATAAAACTAGTGTAGTGAAATTGGTGAATCTGAATAGAGTATTTGGGAATTGACTATTTCTGTAATTTTTCTGTTTGAAATATTTCAACAAGTATTTTAGAGGCATGCTCACATGGCTTTAAGGGGAAAAAAATAAAAGAGGATGTAGTTTGGAATATATATATTTACTGTTGCATTTAAGCTGATCTAACAACTTATGTACCTATTTTCAAAATACTCACCCATTGAATGGAAGCCGTGCCTGGGTCTGGATACCAGATGTTCCAGTAAAGGTAGAGTTGCTTGCTATTGATACATATGAAGACTGCTGTAGCTACATGTAAAGAAAATTAATTTTAGATCATATTTCCAAAAATGGACAATACTGTCAGGTATGATGATCAGTAAGAAATACAAATTCATCCATTAAGATAAGAAAAACACAATGGAGAATATCACACAAACACATACTTCACAGAGCTCTTTTAAAGACTCAAACCAATACTATAGGTGAAAATAATGTGAACATTTTACAGTACTACATAGTACAAATATAAAGAAAGTATTTCACAGAAGAGTTAAGTATGTCGGAATGATAGGAAATGCTAGATGAATGCTCTCAAAGTACTGTAATAACTTGTTTGGGCTAGAAAAATGCAATGTGCCTACTTACAAATAAAATAGGTACTATACTGATCATTTATCACACTACAAATTACAGAGAATGAGAAGTTACATGCACAATAGTTGAGTTTCTATTTTACACCAACTTCTAAACATTAGAAATGCTTATGACAAAAATACTGAACATTATTCTTTTTATCAATAGCCACATAACATGTTCCAAAGTGTATTTCATTAAAAAGTACACGTGTGGGTTTGTTTCCCCGTCTTTCATTCTAAAGATGACCAGTAAGAGTAGATAGATCGCTGAAGATATGTCACCTGGAAATGCATCTCACAGTTTATTTTCCAATAAATAAACTTGGGCTTATTTTCCAAGTCAGTGGCATCAAATTTATGTGTGAGGAAGAGCTTTATAACAGCCACAGTCTTTTCTAAATTCATTTGGACTCTGCTGATTTTAACTTCAGTCTATTTTCTATCATATCGCCACAGGCTTGCGCTCCTGCCAAGCTGCTCTCAGCTCCAAATTGTCTGACTTGTATATCTGACCTGTGTTATATATTTCTAAATGCTAAAAGTACATAGAAATAAACTTAAAGGTTTGGGTTAACATTTTAAGATTTTGGAAAGTGCCACTTCAATACTGAGTTAGATGTGTTTGAGTAGCTTCTGTGATAGCACTAGACATCTTGGACCCCATTATCACTTTTGCAATACAATGACTTCATTTTTTCCACATACCTGAGTAACATACTGAGCTGGAAGCACTGCATAACCCACATTCCCTGTTCCCGGAGCTGGTGCCAGGACAGTGCCTGGTGGCAGGTTAGTGAGGTTGGGCTGGATCTGTGGCAGTGGTGTGGCAGGCATGATAAGCCGTTGCTGTGGCTGGCTAGTAGTTACTATTTGTGAAGTTGGATTGATTGGTTTTGGAACAACCTAAAAAGAAGGGACATATATCAATGACCACAAAATAAATTTTACAGCTGTTCAATTCAGTATAAATCTCTTGCACCTAAATCTTAACTTTCTATTTAAAAAGTAAATCGTCTATTTGGGAAAGACTGAGAAAGAAGTTATGTGATACTTACTTGTTTGACAGCCTGAGCTGAGACAATTGGAACTGACATCCGCACTGGGGTTGTATTAACAACCACTGGCTTTGCTTTTTAAAAAACAAAAGAAGGATGAACAAGTTATTTACAGAAAATAGTATTTAAAACACTTAAGAATACTTAGCTCTCCCAAGTTATTCTCATAAAAGAGCTTAAAGAATTCCATTTGATTCCTAATTTGAGCAATCTTTAATCAGGATAGTTACCTTTCAAAATTGCTTACCCCATCTACCAGAGAACTTATATCTAAGGTGGCTACAGTCTATCCACTTTGTGAGGGAATATTTGTAGGTTCAAGACATTCAAATGAAAATACTTCAATCTGTATTCAGATGATTTATACATTCAGTACTAAATCCAGTCAAATGAAATGTATAAATAAAAGAACTGTCATTCATAAGCTTGAGTAACAACAGCACTCTATACTACTATTTCTCATTGCTCTTTCTATTCAAACCAGAGAATATATCATTCTTGGGTTTTTGTTTTTTTTTGAGACGGAGACTCACTCTGTCTGTCACCCAGGCTGGAGTGTAGTGGTGCAATCTCAGCTCACTGCAACCTCCGCCTCCCAGGTTCAAGCGATTCTTGTGCCTCAGCCTCCCAAGTACCCGAAGTTACAGGTGTGTGCCACCATGCCCAGCTAATTTTTGTATTTTTAGTAGACACTGGGTTCTGCCATGTTGGCCAGGCTGAACCCAATGTCTCGAACTCCCGACCTCAGGTGATCCACCCGCCTTGGCCACCCAAAGTGCTGGGATTATAGGCGTAAGCCACTGTGCCCAGCCAGTGTAATTCAATATTTACAGAATACATACTAAAAGGCAGCACAGCAAAAAGGATAAGAACATGGACTCTAAAGTCATAAGACCCAGGGCATTTAAATCCCAGTTCTGCCATTTTCTAACCACTTAAGCTCTCTTTGCCTGTATCCTCATCTGCAATATGGGGAATATCTACCTTATGGCATATAAGGGTTAAGTATATGTTAATTCTTGAAAATTGATCAGAACACTGCCCTACAAATAGTAAATGCTCACTAAATGTTAGCTGCCATCATCGTTGTTACAACTGCTGCTACTATATAAATGGCATTGTAGCCATTGTTTCAGGAAAACTAAAGCACTAGACCTCTGCTGTCAGGGAGATTATATTCTAGTTCAGCAGATTAGGCACGTGTCCAAATAAGATAAATATTATTAAAGAAGATACATGAAGAGCTGTGGGAGTTAAGAGGATATATATATATATATATATATATATCGTTGGCAGAGGATGGAAATATAGAAAAAGCACACGGAGGACACAGTATTGAGATGGGCCCCAATCAATAGGCTGGCCGCATGGAGGGCACATAGACTGGAGAAGGGCATTTCACACAAAGACGGAAGCATGAGAAGTGGAAGCTTAATCTTGGGAAGCTGCAAAGCATATTTACAAATGTTGGTGAACAAACCAGTCTGGCTAATACCTGGGATTAACGCAGACAAATACAGGCAAAAAGGCAGATTGCAGACATTTATGGAGGACCTTGAATGTTAGGGTAGGACTCTGTATTTAATCTGTATTTTTAATTCAGTACGCAATGAGAAGTTTCTAGGGATTTTTAAATACAGAAATTATATTGAAATAAAAGAAAAATTAATTGTATTTGGCAGCAGTGCATAAAACAGAATGGAGTTGCAAGAGACAAGTCAGAAGAGTGCAAAAAAATGAGGGTCTGATCTGGAGTGATCTGGAGTGACAGCAGTGGGAATAAAAAAGAGAGAGCAGATGCAAGAGACCTGGTGTAGGTGAAAGGACCATGACTTACCAACCACTGAATGGTAGGAACTGTAGGTATAAGCGAAGAAAATGTAAGTCACTGCAGAGCTTTCAAGTGACCAGGAAAATGACAGTTATTAGAACTAAAAACTCAAGGATGAGCTATTTTAAAGGGAGGATGAAACTTGACATGGAGAAATACTGGGATGAAATTCAGGAAAGACATTGGCACTAGACATATACATTTGGACCAACAAGAAGTGCAATTTTAAAAACTGCCTACTGCCATTTCCACTGTTAAAAGCAGATTTAAGAAGATAGAAATGACATCTCTTCAGGTTTCACTGATGTAAAAGTAAGGCCTGGAGCCTGGTCTGAAAGAGAGGTTGAGAGAATTCTGAACAAAACGAAAAAGAATAAATTTCCTTAGATAGAAAGGCTACTATGATATCAGCAGTTTTTTTTTGTTTTTGCTTTTGGTGGGGACTGGAAGGATGATGGCTAAAGACAAAAAAGCTGAGAGTCCTAGAAGAGAATCTTAGAGTAGGCACTCTGATTTAAAAGGCAGCAGCCCACTGCAGCAAGGTGACAAACTAGGGTGAAGGAGGGAGAGCAGGAGACGTCTAGAGAGAATATATGATTAGTGGTGATGGTTGCATAATTTTGTGAATATACTAAAAACCAGTGAATGGTATGCTTTGAAAGGGTGAACTTTATGGTATACATGAATTACATCTCAGTAAGGTTGTTATACAAAAAGAGTGTAAGACTCTTTTCCTGTATGAAATACCAGAGCAGTGTGACATCTGATACCCAGTTTGAAGTTGTTCCTGTTCTGTTTGAATTTTCCTCAATTATACTGAACCATTAGCAAGGTTATAATAACCATTGTAGATTGGTCTCAGCAATGCTAGAAGGAATTAAAAGGAGAGCCTGAATTCCTGCTTGGGACACAGGAGAGTGGACTCCCTCCACCACCTGCTCCTGGGAGAGATGACAGTCGCTGTTCCATGAGCACAGTGCAGTGATTCTGAAGTGAGAGCAATGACCAGTGGAATCCAAAAACTTCCTGGTGGTCCTGAGAAATAACTGGGAAGGAGAGTGACCTGCCTTTCATCACATTAAATGGGGACTATCCCTGCCTTCTCCTCATACACATGCACAAATGTGTGCGTGTGCGCGCGCACACACACACACACACACACACACACACACACCCTCCCTCCCTCCCTGGCCCGGTAAAGAAAACTTAGAAACTCAAATTTACATAGGTTTGACACTTGCATACTGAGTTTTCACTGAAGCCTGGGGAATGAAGAAAATATAAAACCAAGTGGTCATAAAACAGAATACTATAAAATACCTAGGGAAGGGGATGTTATGTAACTAGGTCAACCATCTGCATTTCTTGTCCTCCTTACCTTAGCGCACATTACTAACTACTACTTCAGTTTTCATAGAAGCTGGCATAATTGTGTAGTTTTTAGTCTTTGGCAGGAACTCTGAACAATCCTTTAGAATAGCCTCCTTCCAAACTTCAGAAACCATACCTGCAAGTGTTTGAGGCTTTTTAACTTCTTAAATTGGTTTCCTCCCTCACCGAGATGACAGGTTGTATTCTGAAAAGGCTAACCAAGCACTTTCCTGAGTCCTTCTACTATTCTGCCTACCACTGTACCAACGATTAACATGGTGGAGCCTTTGAACATTAGTTCTTGTGCAACTTTCGGGGGAAAATGTACAAGATAAGCCCCTTTGGCATTTAAGTAAATTCCTCATAAAGAGACATTAATATTTGATGAACTAGAGCAACTATTTAGTGTAACTCTAATAAAAATTGTATTTAACTTGTTATTCCTGTGAAATAATATATATTATATATATCCAGATCTTTTATGGGACAGGAGACAGAGACAAAAAGAGAAAAATATAGATGGATATAAGGGAAATAACATGGGCGTATATGTATGTGGCTGGGTGGGAAGAGGGTATAGAGTGAGGTGAAGAAGGCAGAGAGATATAGTGGAGAACAGAGAGACAGTGTTCAAGGTGAAAAGCAAAAAAGGAAGCAGAAGGGAAGCAGAAGAGTGGTGAAGGACTGCCAGGTGGCAAGGAGAAAAAGAGAAGTAGAGACAGGCAGAAAGACAGACATAAAGCTGGAAAAGAAGGCACCAGTCAATACTGATTTTTTTTTTTTTTTTTTTTTTTTTGAGACAGAGTCTCACTCTGTTGCCCAGGCTGGAGTGCAGTGGTGTGATCTCAGCTCACTGCAACCTCTGCCTCCCGGGTTCAAGTGATTCTCCTGCCTCAGCCTCCCAAGTAGCTGGGATTACAGGTGTGCACCACCACGCCCAACTAATTATTGTATTTTTTCGGTAGAGACAGGGTTTCACCATGTTGGCAGGGCTGGTCTCAAACTCCCAACCTCAAGTGATCCGCCCACCTCAGCCTCCCAAAGTGCTGGGATTACAGGTGTGCACCACCATGCCCAGCCAATACTCTATTTTGAAATGTCCATCCCATTCCTCCACTCTCCCTGGATCTTCCTTATACTAAAGGCATACTCTTGCTAATGAATAAATTAATGTTAACATTAATTAGGTTTAATCCATTATATGGATTCTCAGCATACTATTATACGCATACAAACACACACATAAAATACAACCAATTATATATAATGACTGCTTTCTATCATCATCATCACACTACCTAAGTAGATTGGACTTATAGCACTTCTCTCAGTACCCTGCTAAGTTTAAGTATTGAGAGAATATAAAATTTGACTCCCTTAGTCAACAATATGGTTTTTTCATTTTTCCCCTCATTAAGATTATGATAATGATTTTATTCCAAAATCTTTTCTAAAAAGAATTAGAAAATATAACTGCTTGCTATGACTAATTTAATAAGATATATACTAAATACTGCTTACTGTTTTCTCCCTTCAGTAATTTGAAAGAGAAATAAATAGGTTTTATTCTTCTATAGGTTCCCTCAGGTGAACCACCTATCAGCAACAGGTAGCTCCAAATCTCTGATTTTTTTTTTAATTTTTAATTTTAGACTACTCAAGTATAGCAGTAAGAAGAGGAAAAAGGTAGAACAAGGAGTTCCAACTGTAACTGTGAACAATCAATCAAGCTAATTCACGACCTTCAGACTACCCTCTGATCTCTTTTTTGTTGTGTTTTGTTTTTTTTGAGATGGAGTCTCGCTCTGTCGCCCAGGCTGGAGTGCAGTGGCGCAATCTTGGTTCACGGCAACCTCCGCTGCCCAGGTTCAAGCGATTCTCCTGCCTCAGCCTCCTAGGTAGCTGGGATCACAGGCACGCGCCATCACACCCAGCTAATTTTTGTATTTTTAGTAGAGACGGGGTTTCGCCATGTTGGCCAGACTGGTCACGAACTCCTGACCTCAGATGATCCTTGGCCTCCCAAAGTGCTGGGATTACAGGAGTGAGCCACAGCGCCTGATCTACCCTCTGATCTCTTAATAAAAATCAAAGAGTAACCAACTAGTCTTTAATTCTTCTATTTACTTTCGATAAACAATATATCACTTAATTGCCATCAACTGCTTCTTGACATTGTCAGAATATAAAACAAGGAAACACGTAAGCCCTAAACTATAAACTATCCCGATCCTTTCATATCCCTCAATTTTTAGAAAAGTAGCTAAATATGAAAAAGGTCATTTATGTGTCTATGGATGTATATCAGGTGGTAAGAAGGGTTAAACACAAACATAGAAAATAGAAGGACAACAAACAGGAATATCCTTTAGGGAAAATACAACTAAGCAAAATAAAACATTTTAATCACTTTTTTTTTTTGAGATGGAATCTCGCTCTGTCGCCCAGGCTGGTGTGCAGTGGCATGATCTCAGCTCACTGCAACCTCCATCTCCCAGGTTCGAGCAATTCTCCAGTCTCAGCCTCCCAAGTAGCTGGGACTACAGGCACACACCACCACACCCGGCTAATTTTTGTATTTTTAGTTGAGACAGGGTTTCACCATATTGTTAAGGCTGGTCTTGAACTCCTGACCTCAGGTGATCCACCTGCCTCAGCCTCCCAAAGTGCTGGGATTACAGGTGTGAGCCACCGTGCCTGGCCTTTTAATCACCTTTTTAGTAGCAATTATAGATTCAAAATAAGTAAAAGCTGAAAGTGACATTAAGTTCTTTCTTACTTACACCTTGCCTATTTGTCATTTCAACTGACCCAAACCCTATCAAGGGGCTTTATAGTTTAGCAAATAAAATACATAATACGGTTCCATCTAAATGTATCCCACTGGCATAAATGGCAGGTTTTAAAACCAGCAATAAAATGGCTAACCACGAATTAACAAATAATTACTATTATCTGGTATAATACCACACTGTGTACCAACATCTAGCAGAAAGAATACTACAGTTATGCGCAACTATCATTCTATTTCACTGCCTTCTGCACCAGTTACTGGCTCAAACTCAGTTGAAATGCCACTCTTCATCAGGATTTCAGCAAGAAATGGACAAATGTTCTTTAATCATGTTAAAAGCATGAATTACTGTTTTTAAAAAATGGTTACTAACCTTGCTGAAGAGGCTGAGTGTTTGTACTGGGATTCTGACTAACTGGCTGGGTTGAGCTACTGGCTGATGTGGCAGTAACAAGTCGGACATAATGAAACTTGCTTCCAGGCACTTGAATCTGCTGGACATTGGGAGCAGTTGCCAGAGGAATAATTGTCTTAAACTGTGATGTGCTCACTCCTCCAACAGTGATGGTCTGCACAGTTGATTTCACTGCCTATTAAACAATACAACATGGCTGTCATTAATCTGGGATGTAACTTTCCTACTATTTTTAATTTATAACCATTGCTCAAGTTGTAAAGTATGCTCCTGTATTGCATCAAAAGCTGCTGAAAGGAACAACCTGTTCAAAGAGAAATGAAAAGAATGGTAATAAATACAGAAATAAAACCAAAATTAATGAGTTCTACCTTCCATCTCTAGTAGTTAACTTCCTTGGTAGTCCATTTCAGATGACTTGCTATGAAGAAATTATTACTTAATTTGCAAGTACTTACACAACTTTGTTAATATCAGGTAAAATTTATAAGAAAAGAATTATTTTAAAATTCCCAGAATTAAGCCCCATATTCAATATAGAGAAAAGATGATATAGATGGTTGGCATTATTGCTACCCACCAAAATAACTACAACAAATTTTATATTCCCATGTTCTGTATGTTTTGTATTTTTAGTAGATATAGGGTTTCACCATATTGGTCAGACTGGTCTTGAACTCCTGACCTCAGGTGATCCACCTGCCTCAGCCCCCCAAAGTGCTGCTTTTTCCCAAAAGAAAAGCCTACCTGATACCCTTACTAAGTTTAGTAAATTCTGAAAGGCATAATACTCCCTAGGTATAAAAGTACCCACTAGCATATGGGCAGGAGGCCAAATTCAGTCCAAAATTACCAATTTTGTTTGTCTAGGGAAACTAGTTTTGTATTCCCTGAGTCAAAAAAAAATTTATATATATATATATATATATATATATATTTTTTTTTTTTTTGAAGACAGGGTCTCATTCTGTCACCCAGGCTGGAGTGCAGTAGTGCAATAACGGCTCACTGCAGCCTTGACCTCCTGGGCTCAAGCCATCCTCCTGCCTCAGCCTCCTGAGCACGTAGGACCACAGGTACCACGCCCAGTTAATTTGTGTGTGTGTGTGTGTGTGTGTGTGTGTGTGTGTGTGTGTGTGTTAGACACAGGGTCTCACTTTGCTGCCCAGGCTGGTCTTGAACTCCTGGGCTCAAGCAATCCTCCTACCTCAGCTTCCCAAAGGGTAGGGATTACAGGTGGGAGCCACAATCATTTTAATTGATTAAAATGATTTAATTATTTTTAAAATTAAAGACTGATATTAATCCTTTTCTTTGGTCTGACAAAAGGCAATGGGAATTCCCCAAAAGCTAAATGAAACATCTTAGGCAGAGCAGAACACAATAGTCTTTTGAGAAGTCCCTAACTGCTGTTTAACCAATGTACAACACACTGTCATACAATGCAAAGGATCAAAGAGTCTCTAACCAGATATATAGTATTATTTTATAAATAATTACATCCTCACCTACTCTATAAAAAGCTCTCATGCTAAAAGACAACTGATGTATGATGGAGGAAATATGTATTCACTATATGGATAATAATTTATGAAACAAGAATTCTAAATACTTTTATCATAAAAGTCCAGGAGAAAACAAAAATAATGCCATTTAGTTCAGAAACATTATAAAAGACATTACTTCCGCATAAAATAATTCACATATTATCATAAGCAAAAACCAGATTCAAAATAAGAGATAACAGCAGCCATACCAGTGAATTAAATGAAAACAGAAAGCATAAGAAAAATGATTAAATGTATAAATATGGAAGCTACTGAAAAATCAAGCAACCTACGAGACAAGTACATACAATGGTGCAAAAGACATAGATAGTCCTTACTATATCCGCTCAAAATGGGGGAAAAACACTAAGTACATTAGGAAACAAGGTGCTTGAAACATAATAGTTACATTTATTGGGTACTTAATATGCATGGAGGACAGTACTAAAAATTCTATAGAAGATTATCTGATCTAACAACCACACTATGAGGTAGTTATGGCATGGCATAGTACAGGGGTTGGTTGAATTAAGTTTGTTTAGTATACATTTTTCTATTGCTCTTCTAAAAGTACATTTGATTGTGTATATTTAAGGTATATCACATGATGTATGGGATACATATAGCCAATATACATAAATGTTAGTATAATGAAGCAAATCAATATATCCATCATCTTGCATAGTTGTCCATTTTGTTTGTTTTTGTGGCAAGGGCAGTTAAAATCTACTCATTTAGCAGGAATCCCAAATACTGTACAATTTTGTTACTTATAGTCCTCACACTGTATATTAGATTTCTACACTTGTTCATCCTACATATTATTTTACATCCTCTCACCTAGTTCCTCTGCTACCCCCACCCAGTAACCAGTTTTATCTTCTATCTCTGTATATTTGACCATTTTTTTCCAGATTCCACATATGTGAGATCACACAATATTTTTCTTTCTGTTTCTCTTGGCATAATGCCCACCAGATTCATCCATGTTGTGGCAAATGGCAGGATCTTATTTTTCAAGGTTGAATAATATTTTATTTTATATATATACTACAGTTTCTTTACTCATTCATCTGTCAACAGGTTGTTTTCATATCCTGGTTATTGTGAATAGTGCTATAATAAACATGGAAGTGCAGATATCCTCAGGAGGTGGTGATCTCATTTCTTCTGAACATATTCCCAGAAGAGGGATTGCTGGGTCATGTGGTAGTTCTATTTTCAATTTCTTTAGAAACCTCCACACTGTTTTCCATAATGGCTGCACCAATCTACATTCCCACAATCAATATACAAGGGTTCCGTTTTCTGCACATCCTCACCAACATTTATTATGTTAACTTTTGATAATAGCCATCCTAATGGGTGTGAAGTGGCATCTCATAGTGGCTCTCATTTTCCATTTCCCTGATGATTAATGATGTTGAATACATTTTCATATGTCTGTTGGCCATTTTTGTACCTTTGCAGAAATGTCTATTCAGGTACTTTGCGTATTTTTTAATTGGGTTGTTTTTCTACTATTAAGCTGTATGAGTTCTTTTGTTGTTGTTGTTGTTGTTGTTGTTGAGATGGAGTTTCACTCGGTTGCCCAAGCTAGAGTGCAGTGGTGCCATCTCCACTCATTGCAACCTCTGTCTCCTGAGTTCATGTGATTCTCCTGCCTCAGCCTCCCAAGTAGCTGGGAATACAGGCACACGCCACCATGCCCAGCTAATTTTTGTATTTTGAATAGAGACGGGGTTTCACCATGTTGGCCAGGCTGGTCTTGAACTCCTGACCCCAAGTGATCGGCCTCCCTCAGCTTCCCAAAGTGCTGGGATTACAGGCATTAGCCACTGCACCCAGCCTGAGTTTTTTATAAATTGTAGATTTTAACCTCTTATCAGATATATGGTTTGCAAATGTCTTTTCCTCAATCCATAGGCTGCCTTTTCATTTTATCATTTCCTTTGCTGTGCAGGATATTTTTTGTTTAATGCAGTCCATTTATTTTTGCTTTTTTTTTTTTTTTTTCCAGATGGAGTCTCACTCTGTCACCCAGGCTGGAGTGCAGTGGCATGATCTTGGCTTGCTGCAACCTCTGCCTCCCAGGTTCAAGCGATTCTCCTACCTCAGCCTCCCAAGTAGCTGGGATTACAGGAGTGTGCCACCACAACTGGCTAATTTTTATATTTTTAGTAGAGATGAGGTTTCGCCATGTTGGCCAGGCTGGTCTTTAACTATTTTACAAGTTGTAAAGTATGCTCCCAAAGTGCTGGGATTACAGGTGTGAGCCACAGTGCCCAGCCAGCACAAAACTATTAACTAAACTACAGATCATATTCCGATTTCACCAGTTTTCATGCACACTTTTTTGACGTGTTAGTCCATGTAATGTTATCACTTGTAGAGATTCATGTAATCAACACCACCATGAAGATATATAAAATTCTTCCATCACCCCAATCTCCCTTGCACTATGCTTTATAGTAACACTCTCTCCCCAGCCCTAACCCTTAGCAACCACTTATTAAACCACATTTCTTAGCATCTAAAAAACTAAGTAACATATAAGTTACTACTTAAAAACTGAAAAAGACAGAAGGATTTTACACATTTCATTGCTTGAGAGAATTCACAAATTGGCCCCTTTCTTCAATTACAGTGGCCTGCAAAGAACAACATGTGAACATCTCTCTGAAAATACACCCATTACATAAAACAGTTCACGTGCATTCAGTAAAAATCTTCATTTGGAGTTATCTCTATTTCCTGAATAACATCTTTAAGAGTTGGGCTAAAAAGCAAATATCTTAATTTAGATTCAAAATAGCTATGTTTAACATATATAAGTGACTGCCCTCAAAAACGCGGACAGACTTGCAAGACATTTCTTTTTGTACTATTTTCTAAGCCATTTCTTTTTACAGATTAATATAATTATATATTTAAGATAATTTCTTGGATCATTAGTTTCCTATTACTAAATGCCAAAAGTCCTTACTTAAAATTGCAGACTTACCTAAAAGAAAAAGAGGAATAAAACATTCTTCTTTTGTCCTCACAAATGAATATTCTCTTTTACTTGGTGATTTTGATACGTATTTGTAGATATGTAGATAAGAAAATACAGAGATATAGCTTAACCAATATCCAAAAACACTGAATTTGTATAAATACGTATTAATATAGTTTTTAAAAATTTGTGACAATGGTTATAGAGCTTATCATCATGGAAAAGCTATGATTACGTTACCCTGATCCCCAAATTGTAGGTTATTAAAATAAATAAACCTAGCAGGAAACAAATTTGCAAGCTTTAAAATACTTTCAAGCTAAAAGAGACAAATGATAAAGTAAGAAAAGATAAATATTAAATGTATTACATGACCAATGACAGTGAATCTTAAGATGCACGAGAACATTCAGCACTGATGTATTGACTGGTGAAATATTACAAAAGAGGTATAAGCCATTCATTTGCTATTTTTCCATGGATATTAATCCAACTTATGTTTTATTCATAGCTATGAGTTATAGCGACATGGATGAGTAATTTATATGTGGTGTATTAGTATCCATGGTAGCAGCCACAGAAGGAGTCCAATGATGATATGAAGCAAAATTAGACAAACTATAAGGTATCAGGACCAGAAACCAGCCCTACTAAGGATTAAAACATATTTATCAAGACAGGGAAAATAAAATAGTATGGGATTAGCCTAGGAACAGAGTGCTAAAGATCAAAGGAATACATTTTTAAAAATCCATATATAAAAAAGTTTATAAAAGTGGGCATCTCAAATCAATGGAGAATGATAATAATGTGGATTAGCTACATGATCTGAAGAAAAAAGCTGATCCCTATACCTCATTCCTTTTAACAAATTACAAATGGATTTAAGATTTAACCTAAAAAGTAAAACCACAGCTGGTATTAAAATATATAGACTAATAGAACAGAATAGAGAGCCCTAAGGAAAAAAAAATCCCATTTATGATCAAACGATTTTCAACAAGGGTGCTGAGATAGTTCAACAGGGAAAATACATACTTTTCAACAAATGGTGCTGGGAAAACTGAATATCCGTGTGCAAAACAGTGAAGTTGGACCCTCACCTACCTAACAAATTACACACAAATGAACTCAAAAGAGATCCATGACCAAAATGTAAAAGCTAAAACTAAAAAAAACTCTTAGAAGAAAACAGGGCAAAGCTTCACAACACTGGGTCTGGCAATGATTTCTTGGATACAACACCAAAGGTGCAGACAATCAAAGAAAAATAGAGAAATGGATATCATAAAAATTTTTAAATTTTGTGCATCAGAAAACACTATCAACAGAGTAAAAAGGCAACCCATAGAATGGGAGAGAACATTAGCAAATCGTATATTGATAAGTGATTAACATTTAGAATATACAGAGAACTCCTAAACGTAATAACAAAAATAAGCAATCCAATTTTAAAATGAGCAAAGAACTTGGATAGAATTTTCTCCAAATAAGATATAGAAATGGCCAATAAGCACATAAAATGGTGCTCAGCATTACTAATTATTAGGGAAATACAAGTCAAAACTACAATAAGATACTACCTCACATCCATAAGGATGGCTACTGTCAAAAACAACTGTTGGTAAGGATGTAGAGAAACTGGAATCTTTATGCACTGTTGATGAGAATATAAAATAGTACACTGTGGAAACAGTATGACAGGTCCTCAAAAAAGTAAGAACAGAATTACCATATGATCCAGCAATTCTACTTTTGGGTACATACTGTATTCAAAAGAATTAAAAGTAGGGTCTTGAAGAGATATTTGTAAACTCACGTTCATAGCAGCACTATTCACAATAGCCAAAAGGTGGAAACAACTCAAGTGTCCACAGACAGATGAATGCCTAATCAAAATACAGTGCATATATATCCAATGGAATATTATTCAGCCCTAAAAAGGAAGGGTATTCTGATGTATATGCTATAACACCAATGGACCTTCAGGACCTTATGCTAAGTAAAATATGCCCATCACAAAAAGACAAATATTGTATGTTTACACTTATATGAAGTATTATAGTCAAAATTATGGAGACATTAGTAGAATAGTGACTTCCAGGGACTAAGGAGAGAAAAGATGAAGGGTTATTTTTAATTTCTTTAGAGACAAGATGTCGCTTTGTGGCCCAGCCTGGACAGCAGTGGTGCAATAGCTTAGGCACTCGCGAGGCAGCGATTGCTGCCTCAACTTTCTGGGCTCAAGGGATCCTCCCATCTCAGCCTCCTGTAGGTGGGCCTACAGGCATGCATCACTACGCCCAGCTAATTTTTTAATTTTTATAGAGATGGGGGTCTCACCATGTTGCCCAGGCTGATCTTGAACTCGTGGGCTCAAGCAACCCTCCCACCTCAGCTTCCCAAAGTGCTGGGGATTACAGGCTTGTGCCAGCATGCAAGACTGGAACGGGGAGTGACTGTTTAAAGGATATAGAAATTCAGTTTCACAAGAAGAAAACAGTTCTGGAGATGGATGGTTGTGATACTTACAGAACAATATGAATGTACTTAATATCACTGAACTGTATAATTTAAAAAGATGGTACATCCTATATTACGTATATTTTGCCACAATTTTAAAAAATTGAAAAAATAGCTGGGTACAGTGACTCACACCTGTAATCACAGCTACTTGGGAGGCTGAGATGGGAGGATCATTTAAGGCCAGGTGTTTAAGACCAGCCTGGGCAACATAGCAAGACTCTGTCTTTAAAAAAATAAAAATAAAGAAAAATAGATATCCACTTTGCAAGCTAAGTTATGAAAATCAGTCAGTATCGCCCTGGCATGCAATGGCTCACATCTGTAATCCCAGCAATGTGAGAGGCCGAGGTGAGCAGATCACTTGAGCCAGGCAGTTCAAGACCAGCATGGGCAACATGGCAAAACCCCATCTCTACAAAAACTGAAAAAATTATGCAGGCATGGTGGCATGTGCCTACAGTCCTAGCCCTGAGGTGGGAGGATTGTCTCAGCCTGGGAGGTGAAGGCTGCAGTGAGCCACGATCGCACCACTGCACTCCAGCCTGGGTGACAGAGCAAGACCCCGTCTCAAAAACAAAAAAAATCAGGATCAAAATGATATAGAATCAAATACCAATTTAACCATTTCATAAAGTTAAAAAAAACTATCTGTTCCTGTACTTAATTTGTACTAAAGGAATGTTACATGTAAAAAAATAACATAAAATTAAATGATTTTCAAAATAGATAAATATTGGAGTAAGGAAGACTTATCCAAGTGTGACTCAAAAACTAAAAATTCACACATGAAGAGACTAAATTTTGACTTATTTAATGTGAAATTTCTGCAAGGAAAAACATTATATAGAACAAACCACAGAGAAAAATATTTGTAACCACATTAATAATAAAGAAATAAGTTCCTTAATGTACCACAGACATTTTTAAGACCACAAGGGAAAAAAGACAATGCAATAGGCATGGAGTTCACAGAAAATAAGTCCAGAAGACAGATATGAATAATTTTTAAAAATACAAATTTATATGAGATTATTTATTTATTTATTTATTTATTTATTTATTTTTAAGACGGAGTCTCACTGGGTCTTCCAGGCTGGAGTTCAGTGGTGTGATCTTGGCTCACTGCAACCTCTGCCTCCCCAGTTCAGGTGACTCTCCCACTTCAGCCTGCCAAGTAGTAGGAAGTACAGGTGCGTACCACCATGCCCGGCTAATTTTTGTATTTTTAACAGAGACGGGGTTTCACCATGTTGGCCAGGCTGGTATATGACATTTTTTAATCAGTTAAATTGGCAAAGACTGAAAATGACTAATTAACAGGAGAACATAAAAACAGACCACACCCAACACAATCAACTGACCTCTAACAAAGCACCAGAAGCAATTTAATGAAGAATGGATAGTCTTTTTCAACAAATGGTGCTGGTATAACAGAAGGTCCACATGCAAAAAAAGGAATCTAGACACAGACCTTACACCTTTCACATAGGGCTCACAGACCTAAACATAAAGTGCAAAACTATACAACTCCTAGAAGATAACATTTGGTAACCTTGAGTTTAGCTCTATCTTTTTAGATACACTACCAAAAGGACAATCCATGAAAGAAAAAACTGGTAAGTTAAACTTCATTAAAGTTAAAAACTGCTCTGCAAAAACCACTGTTAATATGATTCAAGAACATGATTTTTTAAAAATACACTGTTAAAAGAATGAACAGGCCGGGTACGGTGGCTCACGCCTGTAATCCTAGCACTTAGAGAGGCCGAAGGAGGCGGATCACTTGAGGTCAGGACCAGCCTGGCCAACATGTTGAAACCTCGTCTCTACTAAAAATACAAAAATTAACTGGGCTTGGTGGCATCCACTTGTAATCCCAGCAGCTCAGGAAGCTGACGCAAGAGAATCACTTGAACCTGGGAGGTGGAGGTTGCAATGAGTCGAGATTGCGCCACTGCACTCCAGCCTGGGCAACAGAGCGAGACTCCATCTCAAAAAAATAACATAACATAACATAACATAACATAACATAACATAACATAACATAACATAATGAACAGACAAGCCATAGATTGAGAGAAAATATCTGCAAAACACATGGTAAAAGGCAACAAGAAAAAGGAGATCATAAAACTAAGAGAAATATCAATCATTTCCAAACTTATAAAGACAGACATATAGAACTGGATCTCAATTCAAACGTAGTGAAAAAAATATGATGACTGGGGAAATGTGAACACTAACTAGGTATTTAATAACATTAAAGGAGCTAGGCATGGTGGCTCATGCCTGTAATCTCTGCACTTTGGGAGGCCAAGGTGGGAGGATCGCTTGAACTCAGGAGTTCAAGACCAGCCTAGGCAACACAGCAAGACCCCTATCTCATTACAAAAAAAAAAAATTAAAAGACTGTGCGTAAGTTTTTTTCCCAAAAGTGTCCCTATCTTTTCTATACATAAAGACACATCTACAGATGAAATGACATGATTAACCTAAAAAATGAGAAGCAGGGTGACAAAAAATAGGCAAGTTGATAATTCCAAAGTTGGATGAAAGGTACATGGGGGTTAATTGCTATTTCAACCTTTTAATATATTTGAAATTTTTTTGAGATGGAGTCTTGCTCTGTCACCCAGGCTGAAGTGCAGTGGCACAATCTCAGCTCACTGCAACCTCCACCTCCTGGGTTCAAGTGATTCTCCTGCCTTGCCTCCCAAGTAGCACCTGCTACCACGCGCGGCTAAATTTTTTAGTATTTTTAGTAGAAATGGGTTTTTGCCATGTTGGCCAGGCTGGTCTTGAACTCCTGATCTCAGGAGATCCACCTGCCTTGGCCTCCCAAAGTGCTGGGATTACAGGCGTGAGCCACCATGCCCGACCTATATTTTAAATTTCTATAGTAAGAGTGTTTTTTATTTTTTATTTTTTGAGACTTAGTCTCGCCTGGCCAACATGGCCAACATGGTGAAATCCCGTCTCAACTAAAAAAAAAAAAAGACTGTTTTTTAAAATATGGCAATAAGGGCTGGCCATGGTGGTTCATGTCTGTAATCCCAGCACTCTGGAAGTCCAAGGCAGACAAATCATTTGAGCCCAGGAGTTCAAGACCAGCCTGGGGCAACACAGTAAAACTACCTGGGAGGCTGAGGTGGGAGAATCACCTGAGCCTGGGAAGTTAAGGCTGCAGTGAGCTGTGATCGCACCACTGCACTCCTGCCTGGGTGACAGAATAAGACCGTTTCATTTAAATAACAATTTTTAAAAAGGCAACAGGACCCCACAGGTATTCAATCAACATAATATATAAATGCATAAAACAAAACCAATCTATATAACACAGTAAAAAGAATTTCTCATTCATTTATTCTTTCTGCCTCTTTTTTCTTTGGGGTGGAGGGGTGGGAGGAGTCTTTCTTCTTTTTCTTAAAAAAACATAGAGACAGGGTCTCACTATGTTGCCCAGGCTGGTCTCGAACTCTTGAGCTCAAGTGATTCTCCCACCTCAGTCTCCCAAAAAGTGCTGAGATTACAGGTGTGAGCCACCATGCCCAGCCATTTCTACTTCTTTATCCTGGCTAATGGGTACTGGTATAAAGATCTATATATAAGATAAAAATTTGGGTAACACAATCAATAGAACCTATGACTTGTAGTCACCTCAATTCCACAACACTTACTAATCTTACAATAATTGGTCAATATATTGGGAAAATGGATCCCATCCTTTTCAAATTGTATTCATTACCACCACAATTCAATTATGTAAGAGCTTCACAGATAAAAGCAAAAGCAATCAACTTCTGAAACCATTTCCCCAAGTCTGTTCTCATTTTCAACTTGGCAATACTGTCACTGGTCACATCACTTCCTGCCGGGATATTTGCAAAACACACTGAAAGTAAGCTTTATGATTCCAGTCTCTACCTGCCCACCACACAATTTCTGACAGACATTGATTCATAAAGCTTGAATCCACCACACAGACATTGCCTAACTAATATTTTGCAAACTTTACTTTCATGTTTTTATTAAATCTCTTGTCTCAGAAACATCCCAAGAGTCTCCATTTAATGACAAAATTAAGCCTAAATTTTCTTCGTTTTGAAGATTAGCCCTAATCTGACCCTATGTTTATTTTCTCTCCATTCCCTCCAAAGCATTTCCAATATTTCCGATTCATATTTCCAATCAGAGTAGTGATCTTCCTGTCCCATGTGTACTTACCTGTTTCAGCTCCAGTCCTTCACTCTTGTGGCTGACATCCATTCTAAACCATACCCATAGAAAACCTTAGCTTAGGATGCCCTCTCTAACCATCCCAACTGTAGTTGAATCCCCTTAGGTAGGATCTCATGACATAATTTATCTTTCTTTTCTTGGTTTTGTAAGTTTATATGTTTGTGTAATTATTTGATTCATTTGTCATACTCCCTTCCCCCACCCCTATAAACTTTAGGGTCTGTGTATCTATTTTTGCTCTCTACTGATTCCCCAAAAAGAGCACAGAAAATGCCCCTACCACATAGTAAGCACTCAGTAAATACTTGTTGTATGGTTAAAGAAGGAATACCAGGACTTCTTTCTTCCTCTTTCCTCTGCACTTTTATATCACCTAGTCTATACTACACAACTTAGCACCTATCTCATCACTCATTGTTTTACTTGCATTCTATTTTGTCTGCTGAACCATTGCAAGCTGTTCAACGTAAGCACAGGGCACACAGAGACCTCAATAAATACTTGATAGCCACTGATAATTACGAAATGGAAGAGTGTCTCTTTGTAACAAGAAGCCTTCATCATTGTTCAGACTCCCAGTTCACTGTACAACTAATGACAATTTACCTGTGTTTACGTAGCATTATTATGTATATATACAGATGATTATTCTACAGACTGCTTGCTGCTAACCAAAATCCATATTCTCTTCTGCTTCCTAGGGTTACAGCCAGATTATATTTCTTAGTCTCCCTTACAGTAAGGAGGGCCATGCAACTGAGTTTTAGCTAGTGAAATGAATGGATGCAATATGCATACTTCCAGGTCTGGTTCATAAAAGCTTCCTGTTTGTTCCTTTTCCATGTCTTTTCCCCTTCCAGCTCACTGGAATGGCAATAACCATCAGGGAGACTGGAAATATCACTTATCCAACTGTAATTTCCAGCCTATTGTCACTTCTGGCCTATTGTAAATATTTGCATTTAAAAATAAAACTGCTACGTTACTTTTTAAAGTGCAGTCAACAGAATCAAATCAACATAAGTGATTTGATGCCCACTATTATTTACTAGGTTTTAATTTTTTTAAATTTATTTTTGATTTATTTATTATTATTATTATTTTTGAGATGGAGTCTTGCTCTGGCTCCACTGCCCGTGCTGGAAGGCAGCGGCGCAATCTCGGCTCACTGCAAACTCCGCCTCCTGGGTTCAAGTGATTCTCCTGCCTCAGCCTCCCAAGTAGCTGGGATAACAAGCGTGTGCCACTACACCTGGCTAATTTTGTATTTTTAGTAGAGACGGGGTTTCACCGTGTTGGGCAGGCTGGTCGCAAACTCCCGATCTCAGGTGATCCTTCTGCCTCAGCCTCCCAAAGTGCTGGAATTACAGGCATAAGCCACTGTGCCCAGCCTATTTAATATGTTTTTAAAAATAAAATAAACCATTCTCTAATAGTCAGAAATTTGTATTTTTCCTTTTCTGTGAACTTGTCTTTGAATTCTATTTCATCTAAAAATTTTATCTTAATGTAACATTCTTATGCTTGAAATTCCTTTATCATACTTCCCTGAAACAAAAAAAAGGACGTAAATTGAAAATTTAAAAACATTAAAACATTGCTGTAGAGCTGATGGTGGTGGCTCATGTCTGTAATCCCAGCAACTCAGGAGGTTGAGGAGGGATACTAGAGGCCAAGAGTTTGAGACCAGCCTGGGCAACATCACATGACCGAGATTCCAAAAAAAATTTTTTTAATTAGCTGGGCATGGTGGTGCATACCTGTTGCCCTAGCTATTCAGGAGGCTGAGGCAAGAGGATTGCTTCAATCCAGGAGTCTGAGGCTATAATTAGCTATGATCACACCACTGCACTCCAGCCTAGGTGACAAAGCAAGACCCAATCTTGGAAAAAAACAAAAACAAAAACAAAAAAAACCCCAAAACCAAAAAACAAAACATTGCTCAAAATTATTTCATCTGATGGAGTTAACAATACAATTACTGTATGCAATTAACCAAAGCAATGGAAATAACAATTTGTACAAATATACTACAACATTAAAAATTTTATTGAAATGCATCTCTTACTAGATAGATGATGACACAAAAATTACTTCTTGTGTCCACAGATATTACATGTAGCTAGAGTAAGAACTCAGCAACAATTATATTCCTATTTTTCACAATTATAAACATTGAAAAACATTGTTCTCACAGATAAGTATGTATGAACAGGATTTTTATTGTAATAATATATTAATATTTTTAATTCCTTCTGAGTCTTATACCAAAAATTACATTATGTTCTACCATCACAAATTATTTTTAAGAAGTTGAAAAAATTATTCTTAATTATGTGAGAACTCACTTAAGTCTTCCTTCAACTTGGCAGAAGATAAAGATTGAAACCTATCTGAACTATAATAATCTGCAGTCATTCATTTTCTCAATTTCTAGGAAATTTATCAAAAAAGCTTTTTTACCAAAACATATCAAATGATAGGTGCCTTTTTTATCCTGATACATTCATAAATGGTTAGGAAAAATGTTTTTTAATTATTCACTACCTGGGTGAAATCACTTTCTTTTTTTTGAGACAGTCTTGCTCTGTCATCCAGACTAGAGTACAGTGGCATGATCAGAGCTCACTGTAACCTCAAACTGCTGGGATCAAGCCATCCTCCTGCCTCAAACTCACGAGTAGCTAGGACACTACAGGCACACACCAGCGGTGTGTAGAGTTGGGATCTCACTATGTTGCTTAAGATGGTCTCGGCCTCTCACAATCCTGCCACCTCAGCCTCCCAAAGCGTTGGGACTACAGGTATGAGCCATTGCATCTCAATTGTCCTTTTTTTTTTTGAGACAAGGTTTCACTCCATCACCCAGGTTGGAGTGAAGTGGTACAATTGTGGCTCAATGCAGCCTCAACCTCCTGGGCTCAAACCATCCTCCTGCTTCAGCCTCCCGAGTAGCTAGGACTACAGGCCCACACCACCACACCTGGCTAAGTTTTTATTTTTGTACAGGGGTGGGGTCTCATCATGTTCCCAGGCTGGTCTCAAACTCCTGGTGCCCAGTCTATGCCTTAATAAAGTTTTGGTTTACACAGATGTATGCATTTTATCTGAATTCATCCCGTGGTACCTTTAAGATTAGTGTATTTCAGTGTATAAGTAAATTTTACCAGCCAGGCGTGGTAGCTCATACATGTAATCCCAGCACTTTTGGGAGGCTGAGGCAGGTAGGTCGCTTGAACCCAGGAGTTTAAGACCAGCGTGGGCAACATGGTAAAAACCCATCTCTACAAAAAATACAAATATTAGCTGGGTGTGAGGCATGTGCGTGTATTCCCAGCTACTCAGGAGGCTGAGGCAGAAGGATCACTTCAGACCAGGAAGTCAAGGTTGCAGTGAGCCACGATCACGCCACTGCACTCCAGCCTGGGTGACAGAGTGAGATCCTGTTTCAAATAAATTTTTAAAAAATTTTTCTTTTGAACCTAAAAAAAAAAATTCCTTTGAACACATAGTAAAGTCTAGTTGATATACTTGATGGGCTATTTGGAGAGAAGTGTATTAAATATGTGCAACTTACTTTGAAGTACATTTTAACAAAAGATGATTAATAGATGGAAGTATGGATAGACATATATGATAATGCAACTACAGCCCAATGTTGAATCTAGAATTACAGAAGCTTCAAAGAATTCTACTCAAGCTACGAGACCTAGAAGTAGGAGGAGTTCAAGAAGATATATTGGTCACAGAAATCAGAGAAGTAAAAAATTTTTACTTAACCTTCTGTACACAGCTTATGCCCTGAAATTCTTCACATGGCAGTCAAGTACATTCTTCATTCAAAATGGCTATGTGACGGTTCATTACCTACCATAGGCCAGACAAACAGGAAAGATTTGTTGCAAAAATAAAGGCTGAAAAAAAAGAGTTCTCCACTGGGTAGGAGAGCAAAACTAATATGAAGCATATGTAAGGATGTCCAGGATAATTTGCATAGACTCTCAAAAGTAAAAAGAAGGATTTTCTAAAGATGCATTTCTGTTCACCATGAAAACATTAAGAAGGCCAGGCGTGGTGGCTCACGCCTGTAATCCCAGCACTGACAGGCTGAAGCGGGCGGATCACCTGAGGTCAGGAGTTTGAGACCAGTCTGGTCAACATGGTGATACCCCGTCTCTACTAAAAATACAAAAAAATTAGCCAGGCTGTAGTGGCACATTCCTGTAGTCCCTGCTACTTGGGAGGCTGAGGCAGGAGGATCGCTTGAACCCTGGAGGCGGAGGTTGCAGTGAGCCAAGATGGCACCACTGCACTCCAGTCTGGGCAACAGAGTGAGACTCTGTCTCAAAAAAAAAAAAAAAGAAAAAACACATTTATTCATCCAACATTACACAAAGTATGACCAGGCCTTACATTTTAGGAGTATTTACCCACCATAAGACTTTTACGAATGGGAAAGAAAGAGCTCTCTAGGAACCTAACCCTAATTTCTTTTTTTGGATATAGAGTCTTGCTATGTTGCCCAGGCTGGCCTTGAACTCCTGGACTCAAGCAATCTTCCCACCCCAGCCTTCCAAGTAGCTGGAACTACAAGTGTGTGCCATTACATCTGGCTTAACCCTCATTTATTTGACCCAATCCCACAGAACCAAAGCAGACCTTTATATTCCCTTGAATTTCAGCTCTAAAAGTTCAACTTTTTCTAATCAGTTTTGGTATGAATCACTGACCTGGATTCACTCTTTGCACTAAGTTACCTACTTTTAATAGAATATGGTTTCTCTACTGCAGTGGTATAAACTTAAAAAAATTTATTTTTAAACTTAAAATCCAGACGGACATTCTAGTAATAAAATGAGAGCCAGACTCAGAGATGATCCAGATGTTACAACCATCATATAAGAACTTTATGATTAATTAATCAAGCTAGTAGAAAAGACGGACAACAGATAATGAATATAAAAGGAATTTCAGCAGAGAGATGGGAACTCTAAGAGTCAAATGGTAGCTTGACAGATGAGTAGATAGCATAAATAAAAAAAGGGCCAAATGAAAATGCTAGAAATTAAAAAAAAAATCACAAATGAAGAAGTCTTTAATAAGCATATTTGTAGACTCCAAACAACTGAGAAAATAATCAATAAATTTAAAGATATGTCAATCAAAATTATATTAATTGAAACACAAAGAAAAAAAAAACTAGGGAGAAAAACAATTGAGCATCCAAGAGCTGTGGAACTCTATTAAATATACTAAAATCTTTAAAACTGAACTCTTAAAATGAGAAGATCAAAGTTAAGTTTAAGAACTATTTGAAGAAAAGTGACCCAAGTTTTCTGAAAGTAAAAGACATCAAATCATAGATCCAAGAAGATTTCAAATCAGAATATATATTTAAAAAAGAAATGAGCAACAACAAAACACACAACGCACATTTAGACACACAATAGTCCAAACGCAGAAATCCAAATATAAAGAGAAAATCTTGAAAACAGGAAAAAAAAAGACATTATATACATAGAAAAAAGTATTAAAAATTACAGTATACTTCTTGCCAGAAACAATGCAATCCAGAAGGCAATAAATGACATCTTTAAAGTACTCGCAGAAAAACTCTCAATTCTTTACCCAATGAAAATATCTTTTAAAAATAATGGCAAGATACAAATTTTTCAAACAAGCAAAAGCTGAGAGAATCTATTGTCAGTAGTCTTTCATTAAAAGAAACATTTTAAAAAGTTCTTTAGAGATGAATTCGACACCAGCCTGAGATTTGGACCTACCCAAAGCAAGGAAGTATATAGGATATGGTTAAAATGAAAGCAAATAAAGGACTTGTTTTTCTTATTTTCAATTGCTTCACAAGGTAATTTTGTCTAAAGCTAAAACAGTAAAATGGGTTATGGAATTTATAACATGTAAACATAAAATGTTTAACAACAATAGCATACAGAACAGGAGGGAGAAATCGGAAACACTCTATTGTAAGTTTCTTACCCTACATTAAGTAATATAAATTGGAAAGTAGACTGTGATAAGTCAAAATGTATATTTGATTGTAGAGCAACCACTAAAAAAAAAAAAATCTTTGTACTTATAACAAGCCAAACGTGGAGATAAAATAGAATCATGAAAAACTTCAATTAACCAAAAAAGGGCAGGAAAACAGTTAAAGAAAGAACATAAAGATGAGACAAAGAGAAAACTAGTAAGGTGCAAGATTTAAATCCAATCATATCAACAATTACATTAAATATAAAGGGTTTAAAATATTTTTATATTGACCATGTTATATAATCACTTTGCTAAATTTATAATTTATACATTAATTCTAATAGTTCCATAGTAAATGCCTTAATTTTTTATGTATATAATAATGTAATATGTGAATTATGACATTTTTTAACTTTCTTTTGAACCTCTATACACTTATTCCTCCCTCCCTCCTTTTTTTTTTTTGAGACGGAGTCTCACTCTGTTGCCCAGGCTGAAGTGCAGCGGTACAATCTTGGCTCACTGCAACCTCCACCTCCCAGATTCAAGAAATTCTCCTGCCTCAGCCTCCCAAGTAGCTGGGACTACAGGCGTGTGCCACCACACCTGGGTAATTTTTGTATTTTTAGTAGAGATGGGGTTTCACCATGTTGGCCAGACTGGTCTCAAACTCCTAACCTCAAATGATCTTCCCGCCTCGGCCACCCAAAGTGTTGGGATTACAGGTGTAAGCCACCATGCCCCCCAGCCACTTACTCTTTTTTCTTGCCTTATTGCATTAATTCAGACCTGCAGTAGAATTAAACAAGTATTGAAAGTGGGAATCCTTGTTCAACACTGTACCATTACATAAAGTTTGATATATTTTTCTCCCTTTTCAAATTATGAAAGTGTCCTTCTATTTTTGTGGGTTCAAGTATTTCAACCAAAATGGAGGTTGGATATCAGGATTCTTCTGCAGGTATTAAGACTGTCATAAAATTCTTTTTCTATTATTGTAAATTAGATGGATAGATTTTTGGCTATTAAGCTACTTTGTTAAGGATGAGCTTGCTGTTAAGTGAATGAAAAAAAATTTAACCCAGGTGATTAAAAAGCTTTATTGCTCAAAAAAAAAGAAAAAAAAGAAAAAAATTTAAAAGGCCGGTGCAGTGGCTCATGCCTGTCATCCCAGCACTTTGGGAGGCTGAGTTGGGTAGATCACTTGAGGTCAGCCTAGCCAACATGGCGAAACTACATGTCTACTAAAAATATATAAATTAGCCGGGCATGGTGGCATAGCTACTGGGGAAGCTGAGGCAGGAGAATCACTTGAACCCGGGAGGCAGAGGTTGCAGTGAGCCAAGATCGCGCCACTGCACTCCAGCATGGGCAACAGAGGTGAGAGTCCGTCTTCAAGAAAAAATACTCCATCTTCAAGAAAAAATAAATTTTTTTTAAAGAAAAATTTTGAAGAAAGCTGTATTTCTTGTATTTCTGAGAGAAATTGAAAAGGGCCATGTAAAAAATAATACTAAGAGTCTAAGAATAAGATTACAAAAGTCACATTAAAGTAAAAGATAACAGCATTGCTAAAATCTAATCAAGAATAAAGTAAAACAAGCAGAATCACATTTTTATTAGTTTAATGCTTAGTTGCATATCTAATAAATATTGAAGAAAACCGAGGATTACTTTAGAAAATAAATATAATAGAATAAATCTGTCCTGTAATAAGAGACAATTACAATATAAAGTAAATTGAGAAAACACTAGCCATGCTTGATTTCCCAACAACAAACCTAGTAACATTAGATTCAAAGCTGGAGGAGGGAGTGAAAACAGTCTGAAATTGTAATGAGAATAATCATGGGAAACACCTAGGCTTCCAGGCCTGGAGGCATAAGAGCTGAAGGAGAAAAAGAGCTATCACTTAATAGGTCTGCAGGTGAAGCAGGGTCCTCAGGGAGACCCAGGTATCCATTACAGCAAGGAGATAAAAGGAACATTCAATGAAAAGGTTGTGAATTTAGGGAATTATTATTTTGATTATGAACTCCAGAAAAGGCACAGTGGAAGGACTTCAAGAGAGGCATGGGTGGAAAAGGGGTCAGAAGATAGCAAGAGCTTTAAGGAGATTAGATGCGGGAGATGAAAGATGATCTCAGTCGGGGTGGTTGAGGCTACCCAGTATCAACAAAGATAAATAATGAGAGGAGTCTCAGCAGACTCAAGGCAGATAGCAGTGAGACTGTTGAGTGCTGGTGGGTAGGGAAGGGTGAGTGCTTCAGCTTTCCTTTTGGCCTCTATCAATAGAAACAAGGAGATCTTCAGCAAATCCTCACTTTTTAGTCATTTTCGTAATTGACTTTTCTATGACATTTGAAATTGTGGCCTAGTATCCTTTTTGAAATTATCTTCCCTTCACATTTTGTTTAGTTTCTACTAATAACCCCCTTATCATTTACTCTCTCCCACTGGCTCCTTTTCTTCTACTAACACTTAGTATTTTATGGTTCAGTCCTGCTTTTCTTTTCGCTCTACATACAATCTGATGCTCCTTGGGTGATTTCATCTATATCCATAGTTTCAGTGACTGCCTACATTCAGTTTCACAATGGACATCCTCGTCTAGATAATCTGTGGGTACTTCAATGACAAAAATGTCCAAAAACTAAACATCTCTCTGCCCAAGCCTATAGTACTGCTATATTCTAGTATGAGATAGGATGGGATATTTTCTGCTATCTCAGAATCTGGCTGAAGTGAGGCCCCAAAGCTAAACAAAAAATGACAAACTCCTGCACACTCTAAAAAGGACATCCATGCCAGACTTACTAAACGATGGTATCCCTATCATCTACCTCCTATTAAAAAAAAAAAAAAGACAGAAATAGAAGAGAATTTGCAAACATGGAGAATGCCAGGGCTTTACATCTCAGTGAGGGGGGAAAAAAAACCAACAAAAAAAAACACCTCTGAGACAGAGTAGGTGACAACTGCAAGGAGAAACTGACATCTGAATCTTTAGGTTTTTTTGGTTTCGTTTACTTTTTGAGACAGTCTCATTCTGTCAACCAGGCTGGAGTGCAGTGGCACAATCTCAGCTCATTGCAACCTCCGCCTCCCCGGTTCAAGCAATTCTCCTGCCTCAGTCTTCCAAGTGGCTAGGATGTGCCACCATGCCCAGCTAGTTTTTGTATTTTTAGTAGAGACAGGGTTTCACCATGTTAGCCAGGCTGGTCTCGAACTCCTGTCTCAGGTGATCTGCCCACCTCAACCTACCAAAGTGCTGGGATTACAGGCATGAGCCACCACACCCAGCCCCGACATCTGAATCTTTTTTGGCTATCAACTTATTAAGATAAATAAGCTTAGCCGTTACGTCTGTAATCCCAGCACTTTGGGAGGCCGAGGCAGGCAGATCATGAGGTCAGGAGATCGAGACCCTCCTGGACGACATGGTGAAAACCCATCTCTACTAAAAATAGAAAAATTAGCTGGGTGGTGGCACATGCCTGTAATCCCAGCTACTCGGGACGCTGAGGCAGGAGAATTGTTTGAACCCAGGAGGTGGAGGTTGCAGTGAGCCGAGATGGCGCCACTGCACTCCAGCCTGGTGACAGAGCAAGACTCCATCTCAAAAAAAAAAAAGAAAAAAGAAAAAAAAGGAAAAAAGAAACTTAGCTGTATCTTGGTTTAACCACCAGAACTAAATGCAGCGAGAGTTCCTGGGATAACCTGACAGATATCCTCAAGAGTTTATTCAGAGAATATGTGAACACAGAAACTGGTCCCAGCCTGGAAAATTCTGCAAGAAAGAAGATGGCTGCAGCTGTCACAATGGTAGGGCAAAGATTTAGAGGACAGCAGTTAGGCAAGCTGCACTTTTACCACTGGGTTCTAGAAGTTTCCCACTGGCCATGTAGATGCTGCAGAAGGGCTAAGACATCTTGATGGGACCCTGCCAAAGCCATGTACCTTCTGGAGTAAAGGTACTCAGGAGTGCCAGACGTAGACTACAGGAATGAAGAGCTAAAGGGAGGCTGCAAAAGGCAGCTGGAGAGTACACCATATCCCTGACAGGGAACTTGGCAATGTGGCAATAACCCACAGGAAGGGCTCCAAAAAAACCATCCTGAGTGAATATCTCCATTAAGTCCACATTTGGACACCTGTCACACAGAGGGCACCAGAAGCTGGATTACAATAGTCTCAGTCAAACAAAACCTTGTCCTTTCTCCTTTAATCTTCCTTCTGATCAGAAGACAAAATCAGAAAGGGAGAGGAGGTTGAAGAGTGACGAAACAGATCATGCTCCTCTTCTCCACCGCGAATCCCTGAGCCATGGTTAGATCTCACCTGAACGATAGATAAGCTTTCAACCGGATGTAAGCTTTTGACTGTACATTTCACACCTGTGAATTTTAATAACCAAAACAAGCTTGTTTTTGTTTTTTGTTTTTTTTTTTTCTGGAGACAAGAGTTTCGCTTTTGTTGCCCAGGCTGGAATGCAATGGCAGGATCTCAGCTCACCGCGACCTCTACCTCCTGGGTTCAAGCAATTCTCCTGCCTCAGCCTCCCGAGTAGCTGGGATTACAGGCATGTGCCACCAAGCCCAGCTAATTTTGTATTTTTTTTGTAGAGACAGGGTTTCTCCATGTTGGTCAGGCTGGTCTCAGACTAAAACAAGCTTGTTCTTATAGTTAAGTGTAAAATCTTGCCAAGAGTCAAGAAAGGAAGATCCAATATGGCAGGGCTAAAGTCAAGGATGGGAAAAAAATAAAGCCAGTTCCTATTCGTATGTCATCAGGTATAAACCATATACCAGTCAAATTAGTCCATAGGGCTACCATCTACCCCGTTATCTAAGTCAGAAATACAGGAGTCATCCTAGATTCTCCCCCTAAGATACTGAACCTCTTTCAACACATCTCTCTTCCTCTTTAGCCCCTGAGCTACTAGTGTAGTTCAAACATGAAGTACTGCAATAATCTCTTAGTGATTCTCTACCCTGGCCTACACTTTTAAAAGATTAAATTTAACACACAGGCCGCAGCCTAGAGATTCTGATTTAAATGGGGTCAGGTAGGGGCCTGCCATTAGTTTTCTCAAGAGGTCCCCAGTACTAACTGCAGCCAAGGTTGAGAATCACTAACCTAACTGGTCTCTCCCACAATACAGGCTCACCTTCCCCCAAACTATCTCTCATAATGCCACAAGATTCGTATTTTTAAAAATGCAAATTTCATATTATTTATAGCAGTGGTTCCCAATCTAGGCTACCCACTAGAATCACTTAAAGAGCTTTGTAAAATCCTGATACCAGGTCAAGTCTGGAGAGATGAAAACAGAATCTCTGGGGATGAGAACTAGGCGTCGGTATTTATTAAAACTCTCCAGGTGATCCCAATAAGCAGATAAGGGCGAGAATCACTGTCCTAGAAGCAATGAGAAGCCACAGAAGTCCAAACTCCCCTGAAGATAAAGAAACCGTCCATCTAACCTTAGCACCCTCGGCTCTCACACTGCAAAAATCAGTGAGGCTTCCTGAAAGACCACACTTTTACACCTTTATGTAAAGTATCACCTCAATCCAGAAATCCCCTTCTGCTCATCTGGAGCTAAGTCCAACCCACGTTTAAGGTTAAGACCTTTCAAGAATAAGCTCCTTTGTATAAACCTTCCCTGCCAAACACACAGCAGTCATTAATCCATCTATGACCATTGTAATTCTGTAGGACAATTTTTAATGTTTCAGTCTAACTACCTTATTGAATTCCTT
This sequence comes from Homo sapiens, assembly GCF_000001405.40. Classification (NCBI taxonomy): domain Eukaryota; kingdom Metazoa; phylum Chordata; class Mammalia; order Primates; family Hominidae; genus Homo; species Homo sapiens. The sequence continues at coordinate 82,969,369 of NC_000004.12, forward strand.
GAAATGAAATACCTTATCTTATTCATGTTTTATCCTCAGTGCCTATCACTATGCATGGCACAGTTACCCTCAAATTTCTGCCAAATTCATTCAATTTAGGGAAAAAGTTATGCAGGTAGAATTTGACCTTAATAAACTGTATGAGATAACATATTTGTACATTATAGTCAAGGCTCATTAAAGAAACCAACACCTGGACTTTAAAAAATGTAAGGCAAATGTTTAACGTTTGTTCTATTTATGAACAGTAACAAATCAAAGAAAGCAGGTGCAAAGGGCAGTATTGTTTCCAGAGTCACAAGCGTGAAACCTAACAAAATAATAATGCTTGGCTTTCTATCTGAATAATATGTCCTTTAAAACATATCTTTTTCAAAATGTTATGCTGGTATAATAACAACTGTATGTTTTAGGAAAGTGAGTTAGATGACTTACTTTGCCTCACAATAAAATAAGAAAGCATTTGAATGCTTCCAATAAAATGTATTCAAGCTTAAACAACACTGATAATATGGCTACCAGCATCTGATGGCAATTTCTACTACTCTGGGTCCTGTTACCAAGCAAAAGTTCAGATCTCCATTTTTTAAAGTTACATTTAATATTTTATATCATAAGTCTATATGTACCTTCCACAAATACAATAATTTTGCTAAAATATTAACTAAAGAAGAACTAAACACCTACATTATTGAATTTATTCAAGATTTTGTTGTACCCACATTCATATGGGCTATGGAAATCATATTCACATGCAAAATGATTACTATGTTACTATGTGTTTAAAGTAAGCTTTTTAATCTGTCAGACATCCTTGATTACTAAATTAATCCAGTATTCATTGAATGTCTATTACTTGCTTGGGAATGTACTAAAATTGAAGTATCTGAAGTGACTAGTAAGAAAATAAAGGCATCAACCACAATATTTGGTATTTGTGGCTAATTTATTTTTTTACCTTATTTGGCGATTTCAAAGGTGAGATGGCTATTTTATTTGGTGTCTGTGTTGTAGAATTTAAAGTTGATCCAATAACACCACTTTCAGATATTGTTATGGTCTTTGATGGAGTTCCGGGAGTAGACTGTGAAAGAACCCTACCTGCAAATGAGAGGCAGCACATCAGTTTGACTTTTTTCAATAATAGTATAAAAATTTATGTGATGATGCTCTACACTCACAAGGACTGCAGAATGTATGTTTGTTATTTCATGTCAACACTTAATGAGGCACTAATGAACTATGGTAAACCTAGGCAGAACTAAACAAAACACTACTTCTTAGTAATACTTAATATCAGCTTACATTAAACTCTACAAAAACAGTTTAGTTCATGTGTTCATCAATACTGTTGTTATATCCATCAGAGAGAAAGCTCAGGGCAACTAAGTAATGTGCCCTGTGTAACACAGCTCCTGAAAGTCAGAACATGAACCCAAGTCTTAAAACTTCAATCTCTGTATTCTACTATCTATAGCTGTCTTCCCATATGAACTTAAACCATGAAGGTACAATTGAAATCCACACTTATAAAACAGATAGTTATTGGACTAACTTAAACACTGAAAGGTTTAATACTACCTGATTTTAGACTGCCAAAGGGGATAAAAAAATGTTTTTTCTACCCACCCCGGCCAGATTCCATATTGTGTTCCCTTCTGGACAAGACCCTTCAGGAACAACCATGAAAAACTCTAGTGTCTGGATGCTTGGGGAACTGAAAACCATATTACATTGAGTTGAAATATCAGGAATTTTTATCCTAGGTAAGAAAAGACTACAAAGACATAACAGATCTTCAAATTCTTGAAGACTGTGTGATAGCCATTATTCCCATTCACCAAGTATTCTAGCTTTCTTCCATTCTGGACACATGGTAGAACTACACTTGCACTTCCTACCACTCCCACCCCATCTTGTAGTTAAGTTAGAGTCATGTCACTACTCCTGGCAGACGAGTTATGAGTAGAAGTGACGTGTGTCATTCTTGGGCCACAGCATTTATTACTGCCTATGCAAGACCTTCCAAAGTTTATTTTCCTCTGCCATCTGAGATGGCGGCTCCTTGGTTAGCCTGTGTCCCTGAGTTGCTATGAAGAGAAGATACCTTTTTGAACCCACAATGGTCATATAGATAATCAATTTTTAAATTTTTTTTAAATTGAATTTAAAAAAAAAAAACAGGTTTTTTACCCTTCTGAGGTTTGGAGATTATTTTGGCAGAAAAACCAAGATTATCCTAACTGATCCAGGCTGTCAGGTTAAAGGATTAGAACCAATCTGTATCACATCAAATGCAGAGAAACAGAAAATATTTCAGCTCAGCACTAAGAAAGAACTTCTAACAAAAATTTCCAACTGAAATGACTATTTCAACACAAGTGAGTTTCTAGTCACTAAAGGTGTCCCAGGCAGATGCTGGATAATCAAATATACCGGCTAAAGAGGAAAGTCAAGCATCTAAGAAGTAGAGAAGATTGATAACTAAATTATCTCTAGAATCTGCTCTAACCTTTAGATACTATGATTAAACTCATAGATCCAGCTAGAGATGAAGGAGAGAGCATGACAGTGAGGAGAAAGGGAAAGAGAGAAAGAAGGGACTTTCACTTTAGACAAAAATAAAGAACTAATGCTTAGCAGCTTCTGGGCCATTTTTCCTGACAACAATGCCAAAGTATGCCTTTTGTTTTGTTTTGTTTTGAGACAGGGGTCTCCCTCAGTCACCCAGGCTAGAATGCAGTGGCGTGATCATAGCTCACTGCAGCCTTGAACTTCTGGGCTCAAATGATCCTCCCATCTCAGCCTCCTGAGTAGCTGGGACCACAGGCACGTGCCACCATGCTTAGCTATTTTTTTTTTATTTTTTTTAGACAATGGAGTTTTGTCATGTTGCCCAGGCTGGCACAGTTTCTTTTTTAAAAAGTGAATCAAGTTTTATCCCCATCTATGAATTTTTAAAGTATTTTCAATACAATTTTCAAAATTTCTTTGTAGTACATAGATTAATTTTAATGACATTCTGCCAGGTTTTTTAAAAACCTGAATACATCATAATTACATAAAGTCAATTCTAAATAAACCAAACGAATCTACATCAAATAGGTTTAGAGAGCCGCCCTAAAGTATTCAGCCTGCCTAAAGTAACATGTTTGTCTATTCTGGTTTCCAAAGCTAATACCTGTGAGATAAGTATGAAGCCCCAATAACCATTCTGTTAAGAAAAGAAATTACCAGTAAAGACACAGTTTCATAAAATGTTCATTATTTATAGCCACTGCTATAATTTCATGTGTTAGGAATTACATATCTTTCAAATAATATTCATATAGAGCTGGACACAGTGGCTCACGCCTGTAATCCCAGCACTTTGGGAGGCCGAGGCAGGTGGATCACGAGGTCAGGAATTCGAGACCAGCCTGGCCAACATGGTGAAACCCCGTCTCTACTAAAACTACAAAAATTAGCCAGGCGTGGTAGCGTGCGTCTATAATCCCAGCTACTCGGGAGGCAGAGGTTGCAGTGAGCTGAGATTGCGCCATTGCACTCCAGCCTGGGCAACAAGAGCAAGAATCCCTCTAAAAAAAAAAAAAAAAAAAAAAATTCATACAGAAAATCCGCAATTCCTGAGGATAACTGGTATCAGAAAAAGGCAACTTGATGTTAATTCACTTAAAACAGGAACAAAAGTTTCATTATAAATTACAAAACTAAAAGTAATAAAACTTTTACTATCTTTCTGTGGCCTACGTTTTTTAAAAATTCAGTTTATAATTGCAACTATACTAACTCTTAAGATGAACAAAGAAAAAAATCAGCTGTTGAGTTTTGGGGAGAGAGATTGCTTCTGAAAATTTGGACGACAGCAAAATGATAAATTATGTCGATAATGATAAATGGGCACAACATACTCATAAAGCAGGTCATTTCTACCAAAATATTTCTAGATTTCATCAATTTTCCCAAGAACCTTGATATCCTTTGAAATTCAAGTTATTCTTTTTGAGGGTCTGCTTGGTTTTCATCCTGGTAGCATTTCTGATTATCTAATCTAACCTCCAAATCCCTATTTATCCTTAGTTCCACTGATTCAAGCAAGCATGCAAGTTACATAATTTGACCTTGAAATTAATTTCTGTTGTCAGGTATTCTCCAAGAATCAAAAGAGACACACTCCATAAAGCCACATATTGAATAGGCTGGGGCAGGAAGCTAGAATATTTGAGTAAGGCCAAATTCTTTAAGAGATTAATTTTACATTGTGATGAAGCTTGCTCCCATGAAGCAACCTTCTACCTTGAGAGGTGTGATAATGAGAACCTCTATTATCTCATGTAACCATTTCAAGTCTTGTCAGGTGGCTGGTATCTACATTTTACTAAACTAAGATGAACAAAATAATGTATTTACCGAAGATCATAGAGAAAATCAACAGAAGACCCATGACTGAAAACCCAAGTTTCCCAATAGCTCCTACTGTATCACTATAGTGCCTCCATGATATACATATTCATGCAACAATATGCATTCACAGAACTACATCAAAGTGCCAAAAATAGGAGCAGGGCACAGTGGCTCATGCCTGTAATCCCAGCACTTTGGGAGGACAAGGAGGGTGGATCACGAGGTCAGGAGATTGGGACCATCCTGGCTAACACGGTGAAACCCCATCTCTACTAAAAATACAAAAAATTAGCTGGGTGTGGTGGCAGGCACCTGTAGTCCCAGCTACTTGGGAGGCTGAGGCAAGAGAATGGCGTGAACCCAGGAGGCGGAGCTTGCAGTGAGCCGAGATCGCACCACTGCACTCCAGCCTGGGTGACAGAGCAAAACTCCCTCTCAAAAAAACAAACAAACCAAAAAAAAAAGGTGCCAAAAATTGTGCTAGGTTCTGGGAAGGTGGGGACAGAGGAGAAAGAGAAAGAGTGAGAGAAACAAGATAAAAGAACCATCAATACAGTACATACATAAATACATTGGAACATAATTCTGCCTTAAAAAGAAAATTCTGATATATACTACAACACAAATGCACCTTAAGGACATTATGCTAAGTGAAATAAGCCAATCAAAAAAAAAGGGCAATGGCTGGGCGTGGTGGCTCACACCTGTAATCCCAGCACTTTGGGAGGCCGAGGTGGGCAGATCACCTGAGGTCAGGAGTCCGAGACCAGCCTGGCCAACGTGGTGAAACACCATCTCTACTAAAAATACAAAAATTAGCCGGGCGTGATGGCACACACCTGTAATCCCAGCTACTTGGGAGGCTGAAGCAAGAGAATCACTTGAACCCAGAAGGCAGAGGTTGCAGTGAGCCACGATCGCACCACTGCATTCCAACCTGGGCGACAGACTGAGACTCCATCTTAAATCCCAGCTACTTGGGAGGTTGAGGCAGGAGGATCACTTGAACCCGGGAGGCACAGGTTGCAGTGAGCCAAGATCACACCACTGCACTCCAGCCTGAGTGACAGAGTGACAGACTGTCTCAAAAAAAAAAAAAAGCAAAAACGTAGATACAAAAGTGGGATGGTGGCTGCCGGAAGCTGGATTGGGGAAGGAAGAATAAGGAGTTTTTGTTTAATGGGCACAAGATTTCAGTTTTGCAAAAAGAAAAAGTTTTAGAGACGGGATGGTGGTGATGGTTGTATAACAATGTGAATGTACTTAATGCCAATGAACTATACACTTAAAACAGTTAACATGAGGCTGGGTGCAGTGGCTCACATCTGTAATCCCAGCACTTTGGAAGGCTGAGGCAGGTGGATCACTTGAGGTCATAAGTTCAAGACCAGCCTGGCCAAAATGGTGAAACCCCTTCTCTACTAAAAATACAAAAATTAGCCGGATGTGGTGGAGTGTGCCTGTAGTCTCAGCTCCTTGGGAAGCTGAGGCAGGAGAATCACTTAGTGAGTTGAGATCACGCCACTGCACTCCAGCCTGGGTGACAGAGTGAAACTGCATCTCAAAAAAAAAAAAAGTTAAGATGGTAAATTTTGTGTTATGTATATCTTACCACAATTTTTTAAAAATAAGTTTTTTAAAAGAACTACATGATGAGGCCAGGCGCGGTGGCTCATGCCTGTAATCCTAGCACTTTGGGAGGCTGAGGTGGGCGGATTAGCTGAGGTTAGGAGTTCGAGACCAGCCTGGCCAACATGGTGAAACCCCGTCTCCACTAAAAATACAAAAAATTAGCCGGGCATAGTGGCAGGCACCTGTAATCCCAGCTATTCAGGAGGCTGAGACAGGAGAATCACTTGAACCCAGGAGGCGGATGTTGCAGTGAGCCGAGATCGCGCCATTGCACTCCAGCCTGGGCAAAAAGAGCGAAAACTCCATCTAAAAAAAAAAAGAGAGCTAGATGAACAAAAAAACAAAAAAAACTACCATCATGAAAAATCATAAGGGGTATGGGGAGACAGACAAGAAAACCAAGATTTATAATACAGTATGACTAATGGATAACTCAAAGCCAGTGTGAAATTTAACAGAAGTTTAAGATAAGTACTTGGTAAGTATAACCAAGTTTTATGGAAATAAATAGGAAATGATCAGAGAAAGAGTATCTGATTAAACCTAGAAGTCAAAAACTTCCAAGATGGGTAATCTAAGAGATAAAATGGATGAGTCAGCCGCAAGGAACGGCAAAGAAAGGCATTCCATGTAAAAGGAACCTTGCCAAGACCCTTAGTCCTACAACTTAGTTTAGATCCATATGGTGATCTCTTACAATAAGTTAAATCAGTAGGTTTGGAGCTACTATTTTGAAGGTGAAAATCAAAAGGCATGCATTAGATCCTAAATGCCTTTAATGCTAAGAAAGCACTGGCATTTGAACTTAATCCTGATGGGTCCAGGTGAAGAAATGAACAAGGCCAAGAAAATTTTAAGCAAGGGTATGACAAGTTCAGATTTGCATTTTAGAAAAATCGCTTATACACAAATATAAAATCATCTTGACTGAAACATAGAAAAAGATAGTCATCTTCAATGAGAAGCCCAAAAATCATCAAAAAAAAAAAAAAAATCTCAAGGTACTTTGAAAGAGCATTAGCTAGCAGGGCGCAGTGGCTCATGCCTGTAGTCCCAGCACTTTGGGAGGCCAAGACAGGTGGATCACAAGGTCAGGAGTTCGAGACCAGCCTGGCCAACATGGTGAAACCCCGTCTCTACTAAAAATACAAAAATTAGCTGGTTGTGGTGGTGGGCGCCTGTAATCCCAGCTACTCGGGAGGCTGAGGCAGGAGAATCGCTTGAACCCAGGAGGCGGAGGTTGCAGTGAGCCAAGATAGCACCACTGCACTCCAGCCTCGGTGACAGGGCGAGACTCCGTCTTAAAAAAAAGACTAGCTGCATGGAAAAAGACTGCAGTCTTAGCTGCAATGTATACATAAAGATGATGGAATCTCCTTGTGATACAATTCAACAGAAAGGCACTTTGGTGGTTTAAAATTTAGCATATGTGAATTTTTAAAGGTTATAAAGAACTAGTTAAAAGTAGAAATTATCCCTCCAAACTGAACTTAATGCCAACAATGCTAGTAAAATTTAACAGAAGTATATCTCTATGTATTCTGGTAGGGCTATTAAGTCCATGCACAATTAAAAAATAAAGTTACAATCGGTCTGCAACACATAAACAACCCAAAGACCAAGCAATGACATTTATAAAAGTCTATGATAGTCACGGTGAACTCTTGACAATAACCAAAAATTCATTCAGACACTTCCGCGAACACCACAATTGTTTACCATACAACCCATACCTTCTCCTTCCCATTAACTAAAACTTTTCAGGGACTCTCTCAGAGTCTCTTCAGAGACTCAAAACAGTAAAGAACATCCCATTAAAACACTCCTGGTTAAGCCCCTCTACCTATACAAAAATCTCCAAGGGGACTGGTGTTTTCTTTTTCATAAATACTTCCAAGCCTTGTTTACTTATAGCCAACTGCAGCCCACTTCCTAAATCAGCTCCAAACCCAAACCCTTTCCAGTATTTTCTTTGGGGCCCCCCTGCCTCCCATGACATCTCTCAAGACATCAGCTTCCTATACTGTCACAAATCTCTACTGAGCACCAAGAGAAAGAGAATAGTCACTCACCTAACACTGCTTTCACATTAAATTTTTCCATCTCTTCTCATTAGCTAAAATGAGAAGCCTCTCTACATACAAATACAAATCAAGCCTACATACAAATCAAAGCCTCAGGAAAATGACAAGTCACTGCCACTGATTTCCAAGTTGCCTACCGCTATGTTGTAAATTTATTAAAGACAGATGGTTTTAATATACATGCTAGGAATGATCAGTTAATATTTGAGTACCCTCATCAAGAATACACAGTCTAGGGATGGGTAATTAGGATTTGAAAGTCTCTAGTCAAAAGTTTACCATCCAGAGGTGCTTTCATATAAGCCTTTAGCACAGTAGAAATTAGAAATGATCCTATAACTAGTGAAAGAGTCATTTAGTATGGCTCTGGATTAAAGACCAATCACTTGGCTGTGTGCTTTTCTCTAAAAAACTTGAGCTGCTAGCCAAACAAGGAATAGGAGGGTTGGACTTAGCCAAGCCATTAGAGAAAGAGACTGGAAAAAGACAATCAATGGCGTTTACAAGAGAGCAATAGGATGGGTCATGGACTTCATCTTGAGGAAGGAAGAATTTGAGGACAGGAAAGGAATGATTACTGAGAAAGTGGAAGAATCAATGGACCAGAAATTCAAAGTCAATTGCTGGATTGGGAGTAGAAAGGCAAGTAAACTAAAAGAATAAAGAGAACGAACACTTGAAGTCAAGATTTCTGAGGTGATATAGTGATTGGTGATGACAAATTTTAAAGTATAAAAGAGAACTGGGCCACACTAAGGAGTATTCTAGTAAAAGTAATTCAGCTAAAATTCTGTTACCACTTAAGTAATTACTATTATTGTGACAATTTTCTGTTTACAGAGAACTCCATATAGAGTATATTAAAATACTGAAACCAAAAATTCAAACAGAAACCATGAAATACTATACTCTTGTGAATATTAATTTAAATTTATTAAAGTTAGCACATGTGCTCCAGAAACAAATTGCCTGGGTTCAAATTCCAGCTCAGCCATTTACTAGCTGAATGCCTCCACTTCCACACTGGCAAAACGGGAATGTTATTAGTACCTACCTCATAGGATTGCTGGGGAATGATATAGTCACTATATGTAAAGGGCTAAGAATGGTGCCTAGCACACAGTGAACACTGTATAAATATTAGCTACTATTACTGGAGTTTGAGACTTTGCTAGTATCATGGTAAATTTCTACCAAAAACTAAGGAGACTAAAGTAATGAACTGATTTTCAGATGAGGCATTTTGCTTGAAGCAAACACTTCTTATTAACTAGTCTGGTTTATAATAATAAGCTATATTTGTTACACTAAAACATTTTAAGTTGGCAGAACAGCCTTTTTAAATCTAAAAGGAAGATAAATATTTAGCTTAATAAACTATAAAGAAATATAACCTGCAATAACTGGTGGTGAAACTTGAGTTGTCTGTCCTGTAACTGCTTTACTATTAATTGGTTTTGCAAAGATCAGCTTCGTGATTACTGGACCAGAGGTTGGCGTTCGAGGCTTCTTAGCAATCTGAAACATATAAATAACTATGAAGACCATCTGTTTCTATAAAATGCCTATTAAATCAAAATTATACCAAAGATTCACACAAAGTAGCACATGTAAAACCAGCTCACTTAACAGAATATATCTGTGTGTTAATGTTAAGAACATTTAAAATGCAGACATTCATCAAAATATTAATATTATTATATCCTTAATCCCATATATAATAATACCTTTGCATTTTATTACAATTCCTTATTTTCATGTCTTGGATATATGCATATGATGAAAACAAAATTAATAATAATGCTTAATGAAAAAATAAAACTGTGGCACAGTAATATTCTTGTTCAAAATAACAAATTACTCAATAATAAAAAGAGTAAGTAAAGAAAGTATAGTGCGAATGACAAAGCCACCTATATACACAATTACATTGGCCCTTGGATGCAAAATATAAATAAATACACATTAAAGGTAGGCTTATGACTAGATTTTCAACTTTAGATCTAAATATCAGGAGTAGATTAAGGGAGAACTAAATAAGTTAAAGCCCTAGGGTACAAAAGAGAAAAATTTGGTAGAACAGAAACTATTATAAGGGCAACAGCTCTGAAATATTATTTACTAAACTATTATGTACTACACTTTTCTTCTTTTAAAGATGGGGTCCTGGCCAGGCGCAGTGGCTCACGCCTGTAATCCCAGCACTCTGGGAGGCTGAAGCAGGCAGACACTTGAGGTCAGGAGTTCAAGACCAGCCTGGCCAACATGGTGAAACCCTGTCTCTACAAAAATACAAAAATAAGCAGGGTGTGGTGGCGCACACCTATAATCTTAGCTACTCGGGAGGCTGAGGCAGGAGAATTGCTTGAACCCGGGAGCAGAGGTTGCAGGGAGTCGAGATTGCACCACTGCACTCCAGCCTGGGTGACAGAGTGAGTGAGACTCTGTCTCAAAAAAAAAAAAAAAAAAAAAAAAAAATACTGGGTCTCATCTCGTCACCCAGACTGGAGTGCAGTGGTGCACTCATAGTTCACTGCAGCCTCAAACTCCTGGGCTACAGCAACTGTTTATTATATTTTAAATTCCTTGAAGAGAGAAACTATATTTAATTCATCTCCAATTTGAAGTTACATATTGGCACACTGTTGACCTGAATTATAATTCTCCACAAGTCAAGGAGTGTAGAGTTACCAATTTTTTATATTGCGATTATCACCATATACAAAGACACAGCTTCTTCTAAAAGTTAAAAGAAGAAATTTACCTGGGATAAAAATCAAAGAATTTTAGAGTGTGAAGAACATTAAATATTAATTATATCTTTTGGCAATGAAAATTGAGACTGTAAAAGAACTATTTATTATAGGAAATAGTGACTCAAATGAAAAAATATGACCAACATGAATAACAGAAATACACCGGAAGTTATGATAGATCACAGAACTAGACAAATATTAGCTCTTTGTGCTCAAATTATAAATTAAACTAAATAACACATCTTACACCTACAATATATTACTTTTTTATACTCAGAGCACATTACTGACAAAAACCAACTGTATATAAAATACAAATCACTTAAAAAAAAACATACCCATTATTGTATTTAAAAACGGCCGACTTGCAAAACTATAACATACTCAAATAAATCTATAATTATACTCTAGAAAGCTAATGAAATTTAGAGAAATACAAATTTCTCAAGTATGTTTACAGACTTAAAACCCTAAAGTCAGTCAAAATTGTATCTATTGTATCTATAATATTAACAATCTCTAGAGGTAGAAGTATTAATATTCTTAGAAAGCCATATTAGCAATAAATAACCTTAGCTATAACAATTATGGGCTTAAAGTATTTCCCCATTTTAAACTGATTTTTCACAATCATGAGTATATGAATACTTATCAGTAAGAAAAAAATATAAACAGTACAACCAGAAGCACATTAATTATTCAAATAAACAATCTCATCTTGCCCTTGTGGTTATGTTTCTTTAGTGGTGCTGAAAATAATAACTTTTGGTTCCATTAAGGAACTATGATTTTTTTGCACTATGAATTCTAAAGTATCCTGGAACAAAATTATTAAGTAAAACAAAGCATCAAAGATTACTTTAACAAGTTTATAGAATCAGCAGCTTAAGATAAACATGAAAAAAAACTTACAAATAAGGTAGTAAAATATGTCATCAAATAATATATACAAGTAATTTTTGGCACTGTGTTGGATAGATTCAGGAGCTAGTAAGGAGTTATATTGTTCCAGACTGCTAGTTATGTACTACTCTTATATACTATGCACAGGAAACATGGGAAAGTGTTTATATATCTGTTATTACATATAATTATACCTCTGTTACTGCCTCTGGCTTCAAAGGTCACCTCTTTTCTTCATTTTTCAAGATGGCCTCCATCTTCCACCGTTGCCTGCTATCTATACCCTAACAGTCTCAATACTCTGACTAAACTTAACACTGACAACTACCTAGGGGGAAAAAAACCAGAAAATCATATACTCTTTGTAATACTAAACCAAATATTCTGGTGTCAAAAAAGGAAAAAATATAGATGCATAGTTTTTAATTTGTCTTTTGTGCTTCAGAGCTTTGAGGTTACTTCTGAGATGGAAAGACTTAAGTCGCCTAAAAATAATGGATTGTACAAGTAAAAAAAATTCTAAATCTAATTCCTTTTTATTGTTTTTTTTAATAGAATTCTTTTTTATTAGATAGAAACAGGCTTTAGAAAACTAACAATAGCCCAGGTGCAGTGGCTTATGCTTGTAATCCCAGCACTTTTGAGAGGCCAAGGCAGGTGGATTGCTTGTGTCCAGGAGTTTGAGACCAGCCTGGGCTACATGGCAAAGCCCCATCTCTACAAAAAAAATACAAAAATTGGCCAGGTGTGGTGGTTTGCATCTGTAGTCCCAGCTACTTGGGAGGCTGACGTGGGAGGAGCATTTGAGCTTGGGGGGTCAAGGCTGCAGTGGAGCACCCACTGCACTCCAGACTGGGTGACAGAGAGACCTGTCTCAAAAACAAAACAAAACAAAACAGAAAAGTAACAATAAAACAAGTTATAAGAATTAGACCCCAGTCTTTTTTTTATTGTCATTACTTAGGGAGTTAAAGTAGAGAAATAATAGATACAAGCAACACTGGTCATTGAAATGTCACATATACCTTGCTCTCATAAATGAAAAAAATGACATTCTAATTTATGATATCTTTTCCTTTTTTAGTTTATTTTTATTTTTTTGAGACAGGGTTTTCCTGTAGCCCAGGCTGAGGTGCAGTGATGCGACCACAGCTCACAGCAGCCTAGACCTCCCCGGCTCAAGCGACCCTCTCACCTCAGCCTCCTGAGTACCTGGGACCGCAAGTGTGCGCCACCATGCTGGGCTAATTTTTTGTATTTTTGGTAGAAACAGGGTTTCACTATGTTGCCCAGGCTGGTCTCGAACTCCTGGCCTCACAGAATCTGCCCACCTTGGCCTCCCAAAGTGTTGGGCTTACAGGTTCGTGAGCCACCACACCTGGCATCAGTTTCTTTTGAACATAATTATGATCCATATTGCCAAAGCCAAATAAACTTTGGTAAACCAATAAAAACAAGCTTCAAAACTGAGGACAAGATGCTTGATGGTGATAAGATATCTCATCCAAGAGATTCTTGGCAAAAATAAGAAGTAAAAGGAAGTCATAGATAAGTGAGAAGTAATAATGAACAAGAAAGAGCACTAAATGTTTAATAATGGCAAAGGGGACAGAGGCAAATTATAAGATTTAAGAAATTCTACAAAGTTCTTAAATGCAAAGCCCATGAAAAGTGGTTTCTAATTCTACTGTCAAAACAGTAACCAAAACATTACTCTAATATCAGCTGAGTGTAGTCTCCCAAAACCTTCCTACTTCCTTCTTATGCATTTCCTATTATTTCTATGCATTCAAAGACAACTCTTTCAAACAGAGGATACATTTTTGTTTCCTGGTCATAAGTATATCACTGCATTTCTTGTTTTTTTTTTTTTTTTTGAGATGGAGTTTCGCTCTTGTCACCCAGGCTGGAGTGCAATGGCGCGATCTCGGCTCACTGCAACCTCTGCCTCCCGGGTTCAACCGATTCTCCTGTCTCAGCCTCCTGAGTAGCTGGGATTATAGGCACTCGCCACCATGCCTGGCTAATTTTTTGTATTTTTAGTAGAGATGAGGTTTCACCATGTTGGGCAGGCTAGTCTCAAACTCCTGACCTCAGGTGATCCGCCCACCTCAGCCTGCCAAAGTGCTGGGTGGGATTACAGGCTTAAGCCACCACGCCCCGCCGATCACTGCATTTCCAAGAGTAGTGGTGGCCTAAGAAAGCCTATTTGGGCATGATAAACTGGAAATCACTTAATATATATTCCAGTAACCTTCTTTCTTAGGGTCCTATTCATACTAATAATAGGTACCATTATGAAACATCCTCAATATTTTGAGAATTATACTACACATTTCATCTTGATCAAAAAGTATTCTTAAGATAAAGTCAAAAACTCAGAGAAGATAAGTAACCTACGAAAGTTTTCCATAACTGGTAGGATAAGATAGAGGCAACTCAAGCCCAGTTGGTACAACTCTAAAGCCTGTATGTTATCTTCCATCACATGTCACTGTCTTTTCCATAGTACAAACATGAATAATGGCAATGAACAGTAAACTCCAAATAAAAGGCACACGCTGGCTGACACGCACTATTACTGGCTCTGAGGGTTTCTCAGAGCAACAAAGTTCTCCTAGCCTTTGGCCATCTGTGAACTGAAAAAAAAAAATGTTGTCTACATGATTTTTTTGATAGCCCAGCAGCAAGTCTGGCATATTTATACCAGCAAAACATCCTTGTAATCAAACTACCACTAAGAATAAAATGCATTTTAAAATTAGTAAAAGGCTATAAATATACTAATTTGGAATTTAACCAAAATTAAGTTTGCTTTCTAAGTTATCTGGTAAAAATTTTCATAAGCATTAGACATATCAAACTTAAAAACACACACACACAATTACATAAAACAACATTCAAAAGAATTCAGTAACAACTATGTATTTAGTAACCCTATAAACACAACTATGAATCAGTTAAATTTTTTTAAACATGCATTTTAATTAGTAAGCCCCCTTTTTTCTTTTACCTGTACTGTTTTTAACTGTTGGGTCTGTAACACAGAGGGCTGAGTTGTAGTATTAATCAGTTGACTTCCTGGGGTCAATGCTGAGACACCAATGACAGGTTTCACCTCTGGCCTCCCTCCAATGGTAACTACTTTAATTTGCTGCGGTGGTAACTTAGCATCTCCTGACTGGGCCTGAGTTGTAACTTTCTGAGCCTGGGGTAGTTGGCTATGGGGTAGTGCTAAAACAATTGGTGAACCAGACTTGCCCAAAGTTGTTAAAATTAACTTCTGTCCATCTGGTTTAAGGGTCTGATTGCCAAGTTTAAGATCAGATGTCTGTGATACTTTGTTTAAAATAATCTGATTGGCTGATATAGTCACAGGAGTCTGAGCACCAAGTTTTTGAAGGCCACTTGGAAAAGCTGGTTTCACTGTGGTATTAGAATCTGCTTTAGTAATTGTGGTATTCACTGCAACTTGGTTAGTGTGGTTACTGTACACTGTGATTGGTTCCGTGGAAATGGGCGTGGCTGTAGAGTCACCAGTAGAATTTATGTTGACAATTTCTTCCAGTTCTGTCTCCATGGGAATTGGGGATGAAACAATAACAGCCTCAATACTATCATCATCCACTAAAGTTATACCAGTGTCCATTATTTCCTCTGGAAGCAAACTATTCACCTCAGCTGGCACCACCTCCATGATCGTTCTCCCGCTAGAAAGTTGATCAGGCACTGTAATAAAAGTTGAAAAATGAACAAGTTACTAGGTTTCAAAAGATGTAAGAAAAAAATTCAAAAAAAATGCAAATGGCAAAATGACAATTTTTAAATTGATATATAATTGAATGAAGAATATTCCTGAAGCTTATCTGGGTTAAATCATGTTAACACATCCTCAACCTGCAAGAATCTATAATATAAGTCATATGGGAACACAAAACTAGAAGCAAACATTCTTACTCTCGTCTCAATCCACAAGTATCTTGCACTCAGGCAACACTAAGTCACATAATCACATGAAACTCCTTTCCAACGCCCTCTAATAAAATTTGTAATCTTTGATGTATCTGATCTTATTTCTACCCAGATTTTTTTCCTCTCATTGACAGACTTGAAAACTGCTGATTCACACAAGGAAATAAAGATTTAAATATTAACATATTGTAAAATACATTCAAATCTCCAATGAGCTACGTCCTAATATGAGTGTACTATCCCATTTTAAAAATCCATTAAATACCCAAATTAAAGTTAAAGGAGTTTCTAGAGTAATACATCTCAGCAATTGCAGATCAAATAGCATTTGTGGTACAACTTTGACCAACTAGCTTCATACCAGGGAAATTTTTATTTGGAAAGAAGATTCTCAAACCCTCCTTGGCCATTTACTTACTTACTTAATTAATTAATTATTGAGACGGAGTCTCACTCTGTTGCCAAGGCTGAAGTGCAGTGGCACAATCTCAGCTCACTGCAACCTCCGCTTCCTGGGTTCAAGCAATTCTCCTGCCTCAGCCTCCTGAGTAGCTGGAATTACAGGCGCCTGCCACCAAGCCGGGCTAATTTTTGTACTTTTAGTAGAGACAGGGTTTTGCCATGTTGGCCAGGCTGGTCTCGAACTCCTAACCTCGGGTGATCCACCTGCCTCGGCCTCCCAAAGTACTGGGATTACAGGCGTGAGCCACCGTGCCTGGCCATCCTCCGCCATTTAAAGTGTCAAAAAGAACCATTTAAGAGATGTACAGCCAATCCCCATGAAGAAAAAAAGTAATAATCATAAAGCAGATTACGAAAAACTTTGAGCTGTGGTACTTTTAGCCAAAGGTCTGTAGAACTTCCAATAAAGGAATCAATTTTATTATCTTCATGTATAAAAGACAGCACATCATGTTTATGACAGACTAAATAGCAGTGAGTTATTTGCCCAGAGAACATCAAAGATCCATAGGAACCAAATCAGCAACTTTCTTCTCTTCCTTTTCGTTTTTGAGACAGAGTCTCGCTCTTGTTACCCAGGCTGGAGTGCAGTGGCGCAATCTCGGCTCACCGCAACCTCCACCTCCCAGGTTCAAGCGATTCTCCTGCCTCAGCCTCCCAAGTAGCTGGGATTACAGGCATGTGCCACCACGCCCAGCTAATTTTTTGTATTTTTAGTAGAGACAAGGTTTCTCCATGTTGGTCAGGCTGGTCTCAAACTCCCAACCTCAGGTGATCTGCCCACGCTGGCCTCCCAAAGTGCTGGGATTATAGGTGTGAGCCACCATGCCCGGCCCCCTTTTTTTAAATATAAAAATACACCACCCCGGCTGGGCATTCTGGCAGATCACGAGGTAGGCAGATCACAAGGTCAAGAGATGGAGACGATCCTGGCCAACATGGTGAAACCCCGTCTCAACTAAAAATACAAAAATTAGCTGGGCATGGTGGCATGCACCTATAGTCCCAGCTACTCAGGAGGCTGAGGCAGAAGAATCACTTGAACCTGGGAGGCAGAGGTTGCAATGAGCCGAGATCGTGCCACTGCACTTGAGCCGGGCGACAGAGCGAGACCCCATCTCAAAAAAAAAAAAAAAAAAAAAAAAGATACAACACCCATCCAAAATTAACACACAAGTAGCAAATTACAACTATTAGCATTGGCAAATACTACTACCACCAAAATAAACCATCATTATTGAGTGCTTACAACACTGATGACGTAATTTAATTTATCCTCACAACAACTCAGAAATGGGAATCATCATTATCCCTGTTTTATAGATGAGGCCATTTAGAAAGGTTAATTTGCCTAAGGTCACATAGCTAGTAAATGGTAGAGCCAGGACTCCAGCTCAGGTTTTTAATATGCCACAGTTAATTATCTTGGCTGGGCACACTGGCTCTTACCTGTAATCCCAGCACTTTGGGAGGCCGAGGTGGGCAGATCACCTGAGGTCAGGTGTTCGAGACCAGCCTGGCCAACATGGCAAAACCCCATCTCTACTAAAAATACAAAAATTAGCTAGGCGTGGTGGTGGGTGCTTGTAATTCCAGCTACTCAGAAGGCTGAAGCACAATAATCGCTTGAAGCCGGGAGGCGGAGGTTGCAGTGAGCCAAGATCGTGCCACTGCACTCCAGCCTGGGCAACAGAGTGAGACTTTGTCTCAAAAATTTTTTTAAAAAGATGCCACAGTTAATAACCTTAATCCCAAAATTATACTCCCTTAAATGTTGCCATTGGTGTTTTAAAACAGGGAAAAAATAAGTCTACTTTTCTAAGAAAAAAACAAAAAACAAAAAACAAACGGGATACATGTGCAGAACATGCAGGTTTGTTACACAGGTATACGTGTGCCATGGTGGTTTGCTACACCTGTTGACCCCACCTCTAAGTTCCCTCCCCTTGACCCCAACCCCCCACCAGAACATAATGTGTGTTGTTCCCCTCTCTGTGTCCATGTGTTCTCAATTCTTCAACTCCCACTTATAAGTGAGAACATGCAGTGTTTGGTTTTCTGTTCCTGTGTTAGTTTGCTGAGAATGATGGCTTCCAGTTTCATCCATGTCTCTGCAGAGGACATGATCTCATTCCTTTTTATGGCTGCATAGTATTCCATGGTGTATAAGTGCCAAATTTTATTTATCCAGTCTATCACTGATGGGCATTTGGGTTGGTTCCATGTCTTTGCTATTGTAAATAGTGCTGCAATAAACATATGTGTGCATGTGTCTTTATAGTAGAATGATTTATATTCCTTTGGGTACATACCCAGTAATGGGACTGATGGGCCAAATGGTATTTCTGGTTCTATATCCTTGAGGAATCACCATACTGTCTTCCACCGTGGTTGAACTAATTCACATTGTCATGAACAATGTAAAAGCATTCCTATTTCTCCACAGCCTTGCCAGCATCTATTGTTTCCTGACTTTTTAATAATCGCCACTCTGACTGGCATGAGATGGTATCTCATTGTGATTTTCATTTACATTTCTCTGATGATCAATGATGTTGAGCTTTTTTTCATGTTTTTTTGGCCACATAAATGTTTCTTTTGAGAAGTGGGTCTGTTCTATCACTAAAGATTATTTGTCTTTTTGCTCATTCCAGAACTTCATTTAAATTGAATAATATATTATGTACTTATGACATAAAGCAATCATATGGTATGAGTTTTTTCTCTCAGCATGCTTTTGAGATTTATCTTTATCGTTTTACTTATTAGTAGTTCTATTCCTTTTTACTGCTGAGTAATATTCCATTGTACAAATTGACCACAATTTGTATATGCATTCATCTGTTAATGGACATTTGGACTGTTTCCAGTTTGGAACTATGATGAATAATTCTGCTATAAACTGCTATAAATACTTAGGTTCAAGTTTTTTCAGAAAATACGTTTTTCATTTCTTTTGAGTAAATATCTAGAAGATCTGGCAATTCCTTCTAGGTGAATCACATGGTAAGTTTATTTTTAATTTTGCATGAAACTGCTAAACTATTTCCCAACTTAGCTGTACCATTTTATACACCCTCCAGCAATGTATGAGAGTTCCAGCTGCTGCACAGCCTCACCAACAATTGGTATTGTCAGTCTTCTGTTGGTCTTTTCAACTCCAGCCATTCTAGCCTATGTGAAGTGATATCTCATTGTGTTTTTAATTTGCAATTCCCAGATGATTAATGACTCTAGCCTCTTTTCATGTGCATATTGTCTGTCTGTATATCTTCCTTTGACAAGTTCCTGTTAAATTTTTTTTTCTTTTAAAAATACTGGGTTTGGCCGGGCGCGGTGTCTTATGCCTGTAATCCCAGCACTTTGGGAGGCCGAAGCAGGCAGACCACAAGGTCAGGAGATCGAGACCATCCTGTCTAACATGGTGAAACCCCATCTCTATTAAAAATACAAAAAATTAGCCAGGCGCGGTGGTGGGTGCCTGTAGTCCCAGCTACTCAGGAGGCTGAGGCAGGAAAATGGCGTGAACCCGGGAGGCGGAGCTTGCAGTGAGCCAAGATCACGTCACTGCACTCCAGCCTGGGCAACAGAGCCAGACTCTCTCTCAAGAAAAAAAAAAAATACCAGGTTTACAGTCTTATTGAATTGGATGAATTCATTATGTATACTGTGAAGTTATCAGTCACTTATAACATCTTAAAGGACTCACTAGGGTTTTGGGACACCAAAGTACTAGCACTTCTTTATGTCGCTCTTCCTGATCAAAGAATCCCCTCTGGCACTTATGGGAATTCACAGCACAAGAATGTAAAAGTATCAACATCAAATATACATCAGCAATGACAATCACAACAACAATATACAACAAAGGGCTCCACTCACAATGTCACACTAGCTTTCTTCCCCAAACCCCAAGAGTTGAATCTGGATACTACCCCCAACGAATGATGATTTAGTTCCTATATCCAACAGAACCATAAAAGTTTGACTCCTTCCTCTCCCTGAAGTTCTTCCAGCATATTTAGACATAGGGGTATGGCCTTTGGTCCCCATAAGGACACACAGACATCAGCCCAACCCCTATTAATCTTTCTCTTTAAAGCACCTGAAATTAAAGAGTAGGAGGAGGGAGAGGTCAGGCCACAGAGGGAGACTGTGGCTTTAGAGCAGTAAGCAAAGCTTGCATTTACTTTCATTTTCAAGCATTAACCCCTGCAGCTCAACCAAACTTCTAAGGTTTTGAATCCACCTAAAGCTCTATATCCTTATTGTGGACACCATATGTTCTGCTTTGAGGGCTCCTTAACTCAGCAGCTATAGCCACATTGCCTTTCAGCAGAGCAGGGGCCATGAAGTTGAGTGTACAACAACCAAAGCACCATTCAGGTGGTATGTTTCAATCCTACCTCTCAACTAAGCCTCTAAATTATTCATTAACAGGTAGAACAGTGGAGGACTTTCATTCTCCCCATCCCCACTGCCCTTGCCCACCACCTGGGTGAGACCATTCACTAACAGATGCCAGAGAGAATTTTCATATCTCCTAACCTAGCCCAAGAGGCCCTCATCCTTCCTCCTTCAGAATGCCATGCCTGTCAGCACCCCATCCTCATGGCCAAAACTATCAAGAACTGTGAGGGTCTGAGACTTTCAACTCTCTTTGAAAGCTAACAAAGTAGCCTAGTAATCTTCCATGGATACCGGCAGAAGACACAGTAGTCATGTGTCAGAGACAAAAGGACTTTTGACTCACAGTACAGCAAGGAACATGAGCATTATGTGTGTATCAGTTCCCCCATATCCCCCAAGTCCCGCAGGGAAGACACAGGGGGGTCCAGGTAGATGCCACATATGCAGTAGGTTTGTATCATAACTTAGGAACCCTGAGCTTAGGTAACACAAATCTTTTTTTTTTTTTCTGAGACAGAGTCTCACTCGGTCGCCCAGGTTGGAGTGCAGTGGCGCGATCTCGGCTCATTGCAAGCTCCGCCTCCCAGGTTCATGCCATTCTCCTGCCTCAGCCTCCTGAGTAGCTGGGACTACGGGCGCCCGCCACCACGCCCGGCTAATTTTTTGTATTTTTAGTAGAGACAGGGTTTCACCATGTTAGCCAGGATGGTCTCGATCTCCTGACCTCGTGATCCGCCCGCCTCCGCCTCCCAAAGTGCTAGGATTACAGGCGTGAGCCACCGCGCCCAGCCAGGGAACCCAAATCTTTTATAACGGGCCAAAGCAAACCTGCTCTTTGCCCAGAGGGAGATATTATCTTTATTATACTGGACAATAAGCAAATCTGCCCTTTGCTACAGAGGGAGATGCTATATCATCCCAGGCTGTTTGCTATACACATATCCTTGAAAAGATCATTTAAAACAAAAGGGCTGTCACTGCCTCACTGGTAAGAGGTACAGAAATGCAAGGACCCATGAAGAAGTCAGGTGCAATGGCGTGCACCTGTAGTCCCAGCTATTCAGGAGGATGAGATGGGAGGATCGCTTGAGGCCAGAAGTTCAAGGCTGCAGTGCACCACTGTACTCCAGCCTGGGCAACACAGTGACAGCCTGTCTCTTAAGAAAAAAAAAAAAAAAAAAAAAGACCCATGGAAAATTGTCTCCCAAATAACTATATCTTATTTATGTTAGCAATGTTGTGCACTTTAAGTATATAGGTCTTATACATATTTTGTTAAATTTATCCTTAAGTATTTCATGTTTTTTGATGCTGTTATAAATGGCATTTTCCATTTTCCAATTGTTTATGAGTATGTACAAATAAAACTGATTTTTGTATATTGTCCATGTATCCTACAACCTAGCTAAACTCACTTATTAATTCTGATAGCTTTTCAGTATAGATGACTTAAGATTTTCTATAAATACAGTCCATGTTGTCTGTAACATCTGTATTTCCTCCTTTCCAATCTACATGTTTTATATTTCTTTTCCCTTACTACACTTGCTAGGACCTCCAGGAAAATGTTGACTAAAAGTGGTGACAGCAGACATATTTGCCCTGTTCCTAATCTTATCTGTTAGTTATAGGTTTCCATAGATTTTCTTTACCAGGTTGAGAAAGTTTACGTCTTTCCCAATTTGATGAGGTTTTTTAAAAAATCATAAAAGGATGTTTAATTCTATCATATGCTTTTTCTGCAACTAGTGAGAAAATCGTATGGCTTTTCTTTTTTTAATCTGTGAATTATATTAATTTTTGATTAAATTAATTTTGCATTCCTGATATGAACCCCACTTGATCATGTCTTATAATTTGTATATATTGCTAAATTATATTTTGCTAATATTTTGTTAAACATTTTTGTTATGTTAATGAGGGATATTGATCTGTAGTTTTCTTTTCATTTTATAGTGTCTGCCTGGAGATAATGCTAGCCTAATAAAATGAATTGGAGTGTGTTCTTATTTTTCAGGAAAAGTTTGCACAGAATCGTCTCTATTTCCTCCTTAAATATTTGCTAAAATTCACCAGTAAAGCCATCTAGATATAAAGCTTCCTTGTGGGAAGGTTTTTAACTATAAATTCATTTCCTTTAGCAGATGTAGGGCGATTCAGATTATCTTTCTTCCCGAGTAACCTGGGATATTTGATAGTTTGTGTCTTTGAAGGAATTTGCCTATTTCCTCTAAGCTGCCAAATGTAGTAGCACAAAGTTACATGTAATATTCTTTTAATATCTGCAGGATCTGTAGAAATGTCCTCTCTTCATTCCTCGTAGTGGTAAACTGTCTTCTCTCCTTTTATTCTTGATTAGCTAGAGATTATCCATTTTATTGACCTTTACAAAGAACCATTTTTGGACCGGGCATGGTGGCTCACACCTGTAATCTCAGAACTTTTGAGAGGTCAAGATGGCTCACTTGTGGCCATGGGTTTGAGACCAGTCGGGACAACATATCAAGACCCCATCTCAACAAAATAAAGATAAAAATTAGCTGGGTGTGGTAGGGCCTGCTTGTAGTCCTAGCTCACACTCCCTTGACTTGGAGGCTGTAGCAAGCAAACCACGACACAGTGGCGTGAACACGACTCACTGAAGCGTCGAATTCCCAGGCTCAAGCAATCCTCCTGCCTCAGCCCCGCAAGTAGCTGGGACTAGAGGCATGCACCACGATGCCTGGCTTTTGTTTTGTAAAAATGAGGTGTCCCCGGCCAGGCGTGGTGGCTCACGCCTGTAATCCCAGCACTTTGGGAGGCCAAGGTGGGTGGATCACGAGGTCAGGAGATTGAGACCATCCTGGTTAACACGGTGAAACCCCGTCTCTACTAAAAATACAAAAAATTAGCCGGGCATGGTAGCAGGTGCCTGTAGTCCCAGCTACTCGGGAGGCTGAGGCAGGAGAATGGCGTGAACCCAGGAGGCGGAGCTTGCAGTGAGCTGAGATCACGCCACTGCACTCCAGCCTGGGTGACAAAGCGAGACTCTGTCTCAGAAAAAAAAAAAAAAAAAGAAATGAGGTTTTACCACGTTGCCTAGGCTGGTCTCAAACTCCTGAGCTCAAGTGATCTGCCCAGCTTGGCCTCTCAGCATGCACCACTGTGCCTGGCCCATTTTTTATTTAAATTAACTATTATCTTTACCTCTTTGCTTCTGTTTGATTTGTTCTTCTTTTTCTAGAATCTTTTTTTTTTTTTTTGAGATGGAGTTTCACTCTTGTTGCCCAGGCTGAAGTGCAATGGTGCAATCTTGGCTCACTGCAACCTCCGCCACCTGGGTTCAAGCGGTTCTCCTGCCTCAGCCTCCCAAGTAGCTGGGATTATAGGCATGCGCCACCACCCCTGGCTAATTTTTTGTATTTTTAGTAGAGACAGGGTTTCTCCATGTTGGTCAAGCTGGTCTCAAACTCCAGACCTCAGGTGATCCGCCTGCCTCGGCCTCCCAAAGTGCTGGGATCACAGCGGTGAGCCACCGCGCCCGGCTAGAATCTTAAGATGGAAACACAGATCAGGGTTCACCAAAATACTAAATGATGCCCATGGTCTTTATATATTGCTTCCTACCTAAAAATGGTTTTTTGTTTGTTTCTTTGTTTGTTTTTGAGACAGTGCCTCACTCTGTCACCCAGGCTGGAGTGCAGTGGTGTGATCTTGGCTCACTTCAACCTCTGCTTCCCAGGTTCAAGCAACTCTCCTGCCTCAGCCTCCCAAGTAGCTGGGATTAGAGGCGCATGCCACCATGCCGGCTACTTTTGTATTTTTAGCAGAGATGGGGTTGCACCATGTTGGTCAGGCTGGTCTTGAACTTCTGATCTCAACTGATCCACCTGCCTCAGCATCCCAAAGTGCTGGGATTACAGGCATGAGCCACTACGCCTGGCCTGATATTTACATTTTTAAATGGTTGGGGCAAGGGGGAATATGACAGACTTACATGACTTACAAAGCCTCCAATATTTGCTACCTGGAGCTTTACACAAAAAGTCTGTCAACTCCTGGTTTAAATGATTGATTGATTTTAAAACTTTCTTCTTTTTTACAGTAAGCCTTTAATATGAAAACTTTTCCCCAAAGCTCTTTAGATGTATTCCATTAATTTCAATACGTTTTTATTATCATTCACTTCAAATGTTTTCTAATATTGCTTGTGATTTTACCTGACACATGGATAATAAAGAAGTGTGCCATTTAATTCCCAAGCACTTGGAGATTTTCTAGCTATGCTATTATTATTGATTACTAATTTAATTATAGTATTGTCAGAGAACATAATACTCTTTAACATTCTCATCATTTGAAATTAGAGACTTATTTTTTGACTCAGTATACGGTCTCTCTTGGTGAATCCTCCTTGTGCATTTTAAAAGAATTTTTTTTTTTTTGAGACAGAGTCTTGCCCTGTCACCCATGCTGGAGTGCAGTGGCGCAATCTGGGCTCACTGCAACCTCCACCTCCCCGGTTCAAGCAATTCCCCTGCCTCAGCCTCCCAAGTAGCTGGGATTACAGGTGCATGGCACCACGCCCAGTTAATTTTTTTGTATTTTTAGTAGAGACAGGGTTTCACCATGTTGGCCAGACTGGTCTCGAACTCCTGACCTTAGGCAATCCGCCCTCCTTGGCCTCCCGAAGTGCTGGGATTACAGGCATGAGCCACCTTGCCCAGCCAAGAACATTTTTTTTAATAGTTGCTGAGGGTAGTATTCTATTTATGTCAGTTAGCAAAAGCTGGTTGATAGAGTTATTCAGATCTTTGATATCCTTAATAAATTTTTAGGGTGTTAAAATCCCCAAATATGGTGGTGGATTTGTTTACGTCTCCCCTTCTGCACATTTTTGCTTCATATATTTTGAAGTTCTGTTGTCAGAAGAACATACGTTTTTACCTGTCCTGTTAAAAGAGACTGAGAATTATAGGAGTGGGACTCTCCCTTTGAACTAGGAGCAAAGTCCAAACTTCTAACAAGAAAAGGTCTGGGCCAGGTTCAGTGGCTCACACCTGTAATCCCAACACTCTGGGAGGCCAAGGCAAGAGGACTGCTTAAGTCCAGGAGTTGGAGACCAGCCTGGGCACAACATGGTAAGACCTTCTTCTCTACAAAAAAATAATTTTTAAAAATTAGCCAGGCGTGGTGGGGCATGTCTAAAGTCCCAGCTACTCGGGAGGCTGAGACAGGAGGAAAGTGTAATCTCAGAAGTTTGAAGCTGCAGTGAGGTATGATAGTGCCACTGCACTCTGGCCTGGGTGACTGGGTAAGATCCTGTCTCTGGGGGGAAAAAAATTAATTTAATTTAATTTTAATTTATTTTTAATTTAAATTTAATTTTTTTTTAAAAAAGGTCTGATTGGTTTGGCCAGAGTCTATGTAATAGACAGAGACTATTCCAGAGCCAGGATAGCTCATAAACTACAGAACAGAATATAGATGACTGTCTTATGATTACACATCCTTATCTCTTTTTTTTTTTTTTTTTTTTTTTTGGGATGGAGTCTCGCTCTGTCACCCAGGCTGGAGTGTAGTGGCACAATCTCAGTTCACTGCAACCTCTGCCTCCAGGGTTCAAGCAATTCTCCTGCCTCTGCCTCCCAAGTAGCTGGGACTACAGGTGCGTGCCACCACACCCGGCTAATTTTTTGTATTTTTAGTAAAGGCAGGGTTTTACCATGTTAGCCAGGCTGGTCTACATGTCCTGACCTCGTGATCCACCCACCCGCCTCGGTCTCCCAAAGTGCTGGGATTACAGGCGTCAGCCTCTACTCCTGGCCTCCCTGTTTGTTTCAATCAGGGTCACATGCAGGGCATGGTGGCCTATGCTAAAAGAAAGTTTCAGGACCAGGCACGGTGGCTCACACCTGTAATCCCAGCACTTTGGGAGGCCAAGGTGGGTGGATCACCTGAGGTCAGGAGTTCAAGACCAGCCTGAGCAACATGGAGAAACCCCGTCTCTACTAAAAATACAAAATTAGCTGGGCGTGGTGGCTCATGCCTGTAATCCCAGCTACTCGGGAGGCTGAGGCAGGAGAATTGCTTGAACCCGGGAGGCGGAGGTTGCGGTGAGCCGAAATCATGAGCAAAACTCCATCTCAAAAAAAAAGAGAAAGTTTCAGAAGGACTGGGCATGGCAGGAAAGGGTTTGTCCACACAGTTACATGATCCATCATGCTATTTTATCTCTTAGGAATGGAAGCCATGTACTAGCACATGCAACCTCATCGTCACTATGTTGAAGGCCACTCCAAGAAAAGAGAGGCTCTTCATAGGCTAAAAGAGCTGAGAAGCTTTAGTTCACCTCATCTGTAGAAGGCGTTACCTGTGAAGGTATGGTAGAGAAAGAATCCAGAACATACAATGCATTCCCCTATGCTTCCAATATTTATTTATTTATTTTTTGAGACAGAGTCTCACTCTGTCGCCCAGGCTGGAATGCAGTGGCATGATCTCAGCTCACTGCAACCTCTGCCTCCCGGGTTCAAGAGATTCTCCTGTCTCAGCCTCCCAAGTATCTGGGACTACGAGCATGTGCTACCATGCCTGGCTAATTTTTGTATTTTTAGTAGAGATGGGGTTTCACCATGTTGGCCAGGCTGGTCTCGAACTCTTGACCTCATGATCCACCCATCTCAGCCTCCCAAAGTGCTGGAATTACAGGCTTGAGCCACCACACCCAGCCTCTTCCAATATTTTTAGTTCATAAAATAAAAGTTCTAAAGGCAAAGTATGTTCTAGAAGCCAATAAAATGAGCTTTCTCCCAACACAGTTGAATGGTTAAATGGTTTAAGTCCGGTGAGAGTTAAACAGTCACCCATTTAGAAAAGTCTGATTTGTACATTTGTCTTAATGTATTAGGGAAAAAAAAAAGTATCTAAAATAGGACCGCCATCCTCATCTCCACTGGCCCAGGTACTCTATCCCATTACCCTGGCATTTCCATCACAGCATCTATCACAATCAGAAGTATCTTGTTTATTTGTTTATACTTTTATTGTCCCTCCTCAACTTCTTTAGAATGCAAAGCCACACAAAGACAGGAACATATTTGTCTTCATCACTACTGAACCCCCATCCCCTGTGCCTATAACAGAGCTGGCAAATAATATTTACTGTGTATAAATCTGAACAATGAATAAAGTAATCATAGAGAAGGAGTGTCACCTAAACTGTAGAATTATTTACATTGGACTTTGAAAATAACTTTTGTCAATTTGAGTAGGATAGGTTTATATAATGCTCTGGGACTTCACAACACTTTAAATAAAATAAACCCATATTGTCATAAGGTACACTAACAAACTGAGAAACTCCTTTCAAATAAGTTTTTAATACTCAAATTTAGCTTTTAACCAATATCCTCTGCAATTACATTCCATCTTTAAATCTACAAGGTTCTATTAGTTTCTAACTAGCTTATACTTTTTATCAGTCATTTAATTAATAAAATACTTCTTGCTTCCTAACTTTGAGGAGGGGATTATGGGAAATTAATCAAAGACCTTGCCCTCAAAGAGCCTAGAAATAAATAGATGACTAACATGATCACAGTTATATTTTGGGAGGATTAACCTCATCTGAGGATTTTGGAGGCAGGGAGACCAGTTGGAAGGCTATTGTAGTAATTAGTTCAAGATACAGATAAATGCTAGATATGATTTAGGATGGTGACAATAAAAAAGAAGTGAATTCAATACAAAATAAAAAATAATGTAATCCCAGCACTTTGGGAGGCCAAGGAGGGCGGATCACCTGAGGTCAGGAGTTTGAGACCAGCCTGGCCAACATGGTGAAACCCTGTCTCTGCAAAAATACAAAAAAATTAGCCGGGCATGGTGGTGCGCTCCTATAATCCCAGCTACTTGAGAGGCTGAGGCAGGAGAATCACTTGAACTCAGGAGGCAGAGGTTGCAGTGAACCAAGATTGCACCACTGCACTCCAGCCTGGGCAAGAAGAGTGAAACTCCATCTCAAAAAAAAAAAATAATAATATATATATAATAATATATATATATACACACACGTATATATATATATACACGTATATATATATATACTAAATGACATATCTGCTTTTACATTTTATACACTACTATTGCAGAAACACTGTTCTTTTCTAGTTACAGAAGGAGAAAAATCTAGGTGAACAGCTGTTTTCATTCTTGTACATAAAGTACTGACATACCACCACATTACAGATGAGCAAGTAATTTTTGAGATATTTAAAAATAAATAATCTGGGACAGGTGCAGTGGCTCATGCCTGTAATCCCAGCACTTTGGGAGGCTGAGGCGGACAGATCACGAGGTCAGGAGTTCAAGAACGGCCTGGTCAACATAGTGAAACCCCGTCTCTACTAAAACTACAAAAATTAGCCGGGCATGGTGCTACATGCCTGTAGTCCTGGCTACTCAGGAGGCTGAGGCAGAAGAATTGCTTGAACCCAGGAGGTGGAGGTTGCAGTAAGCCGAGATAGCAGCTCCAACTCGGGCGACGGTGCGAGACTCCGTCAGAGAAAGAAAAGAAAGAAAGGAAGGAAGAGAGGGAGGGAAAGAAAAGAGAGAAAGAAAAGAGAGAAAGAGAAGAGAGAAAGAAGAGAAAGAAACAGAGAAAGAAAAAGAAAGAGAAAGAAAGAAAGAATCTGAGTGTTTAGTTGATCTTTGAACAGGGTCCACTTACACGCATTTTTTTTCCATAAATATATTAAATATTTTTTGGAAATTTGTGGCAATTTGAAAAAACTCACTGATGAACCATGTCACCACCTAGAAATATCAAAAAAATTTAAGAAAAAGTTTGATATGTCATGAATGTATGAAACATATGTAAACATTGTGTTTTATAATTTACTACCATAAAATATATAAATTATAAAAAGTTACAATGTATAAAAACTTATCCACACAAACAAATTATATCATTTGCAGTGGAGAGAAATGTAAACAAAGATGCACTATTAAATCAAAACCACAAAAAAGTAACTGTAGTACATACTATACTATTGTAATAATATTGTAGCCACCTCCTGTTGCTACTGCTGTGAGCTCAAGTGTTGCCACTAATTGTCTGTTTCCACATGAGCAGTTCCTCCTTCCAGTAAATTGTGTATTGCAGTAAAAGGTGATCTCCCATATTTTTCATTATGTTTAATGCAATACTGTAAAACTTGAATAACACTAGGAGACCCATATGAAGTGCCACTAGTGATGCTAGAAGTGCTCCCAAGAAGCAGAGAAAAGTATGACATTACAAGTAAAAGTTTAACAGCTTGATAAGTACTGTACATTGAGGTCTACAGCTGCAGTTGCCCAACATTTCAAGATAAATGAATCCAGCGTAAAGACCATTATAAAAAAAGAAATTTGTTAAGCCATCACTGCAGTTACACCAGCAGATACGAAAACCTTGCACTTTTAGCAAATTATTTTTTTGTCTAATATTGAAAATGCAGCCTTTGGCCAGGTGTGGCCAAAGTGCTGGGATGTGGCTCATGCCTATAATCCCAGCACTTTGGGAGGCTGAGGCAGGCAGATCACTTGAGGTCAGGAGTTTAAGACCAGCCTGGCCAATATGGTGAAACCCTGTCTCTACCAAAAAATACAAAAATTAGCTGTGCACGGTGGTACACGCCTGTGGTCCCAGCTACTTGGGAGGCAGAGGTGGGACAATAGCTTGAAACCGGGAGGCAGAGGCTACAGTGAGCTGAGATCGCACCACTGCACTCCAGCCTAGGTGACAGGGCGAGACTCTGTCTCAAAAAAAAAAAAAAAAAAGGCAAGAAAACAGGAGAAGCAGCTTCCAGTGACCAAGAATTCCCAGGTGCCATTAAGAAAATCATTGAGGAGAATGGATATCTGCCCAAACAGGTTTTTTGTTTTGTTGTTTCTTGAGACAGGGTCTCACTCTGTCACCCAGACTGGAGTGCAGTAGCATAATCAGAGCTCACTGCAGCCTCGACCTCCTGGGCTCAAGTGATCCTCACACCTTAGCCTCCTGAATAGCTGGGACCACAGGCGCATGCCATCACACCTGGCTAAATTTTTTAAATTTTTATAGAGATAGGGTCTCATTACGTTGCCCAGGCTGGTCTCGAACTCCTGGGCTCAAGTGATCCTCCTGCCTCAGCTCTCCAAAGTGCTGGGATTACAGGTATGAGCCACCATGCCCAGCCCAAACAGGCTTTCAATGCAGATGAAAGTGCCTTATTCTGGAAAAGAATGCCATAAAAGACATTTATTAGTGAGGCACAAAAGGGAGCACCAGAATTTTTAAGGCATGAAGGGATAGGCCAACTCTATTGTTTTGTGCAAATGTAGTTGGGTTTATGATCAGAACTGCCCTTATCTATAAAGCTGCTAAACCCTGAGCCTTGAAGGGAAAGGATAAACACCAGCTGCCACTCTTCCAAATGTATAACAAGAAGGCCTGGACAATGAGAACTCTTTTTCTGGATTGGGTCCATCAGTGTTTTGTCCTTGAAGACATGAAGTACCTTGACAGTAAGGAACTGCCTTTTAAAATTCCTTTGATATTGGACAATGCTCCCAGCCACTCAGAACCCCATGTTTTCAACACTGAAGGCATCAACATGGTCTGCTTGCCCCCAAATACAGCATCTTTAATTTGGCCTTTAAAAGCCCTTTAAGGCTCATTATACATGGTACTCTATGGAATGAACATCAAGTCTATAGAAGAGAACCCCGCTGAGAGAACATCATGAAAATCAGAAAGGATTACACCACTGAAGATGCCATCATTGTTATAGACAAAGCCATGAAAGCCATCAAGCCCAAAGCAATAAATTCTTTTTTTTTTTTTGGAGATAGAGTCCCAGGGTGAAGTGCAGTGGCGCAATCTTGATCTCAGCTCACTGCAACCTCTGCCTCCCAGGTTCAAGCAATTCTCCTGCCTCAGCCTCCCAAATAGCTGGGATCAAAGGCACGCGCCACCACGCCCAGCTAATTTTTGTATTTTTAGGAGAGATGGGGTTCTGCCATGTTGGCCAGGCTGGTCTCAAACTCCTAACCTCAGGTGATCTGCCCACCTTGGCCTCCCAAAGTGCTGGGATTATAGGCATGAGCCACCAAGCCCAGCCCAAAAGCAATAAATTCTTACAGAGAAAACTGTGTCTAGACATTGTGCATGATTTCATAGGATTTATGACATAACCAATGAAGAAAATCATGAAATAAATTGTGGATATGACAAAAATGGTGGGAGGTGAAGGGTTTCAAGATATGCATCTTGGGTAAGGCACACTGGCTCATGACTGTAATCCCAACACTTTGGGAGGCCAAGGTGAGGGGATCACTTGAGCCCCGCAGTTTGAGTAACCTGGGCAACCTAGTGAGATCCCATCTCTACAAAAAATTTAAAAGTTAGCCAGGTGTGGTGGTGTGCACCTGTAGTCCCAGCTACTCAGGAGGCTCAGGTGGAAGGATCACTTGAGCCCAGGAGGTCAAGGATGCGGTGAGCTATGATCACACCACCGCACTCCAGCCTGAGCAGGAGTGAAATCCTGTCAAAAAGAAAAGAAAAAGAAGCCGGGCGCAGTGGCTCACGCCTGTAATCCCAGCACCTTGGGAGGCCGAGGCAGGCAGATCACGAGGTCAGGAGATCAAGAGCATCCTGGCAAACATGGTGAAACCCCGTCTCTACTAAAAATACAAAAAAAAATTAGCTGGGCGTGGTGGCGGGCGCCTGTTGTCCCAGCTACCAGGGAGGCTGAGGCAGGAGAATGGCATGAACCCGGGAGGCAGAGCTTGCAGTGAGCGAAGATCGCACCACTGCACTCCAGCCTGGGCGACAGAGCAAGACTCTGTCTCAAAAAAAAAAAAAGGATAGGAAGGAAGGAAGGAAGGAAGGAAGGAAGGAGGGAGGGAGGGAGGGAGGGAGGGAGGGAGGGAGGGAAGGAAGGAAGGAAGGAAGGAAGGAAGGAAGGAAGGAAGGAAGGAAGGGAGGGATCTTGGAGAAATTCAAGAGCTAACAGATACCATAGCAGAGGAATTAACAGGGGACAACTTGATGGAGATGAGTGCTTCCGAACTAGTGCCAGACAATGAGAAAGAAGATGTAGAAGAAGCACAGAAAACGAACTGACAGTAGACAATCGGCATTATTCAAGACTGCTTTTGAAATTTTTTATGACATGGACCCTTCTACGATACACACAATGAAGCTAAAGCAAACAGTGAAAAAAAGCTTGCTACCACAGAGAAATATTTTTAGAGAAATCAAGCATAGTGGTGCATGCCTTTAATCCCAGCTACTTGGGAGACTGAGGCATGAGGATCGCCTAAGCCCAGGTGGAGTTCAAGACCAGCAACATAGCGAGACCTCACCTCTAAAAAAAAAGCAAGGGTGAGGGAGGAAGGAAGGAAGGAGGGAAGGAAGGAGGGATAGAAAGGAGGGAGGGAGGGAGGAGGGGAGGGAAGGAGGAAGGAGGGAGGAGGGAAGGAGGGAGGGAGGCAGGGGAAAAAAAGTTAGACAGAAATTACAATGTATTTCCATAAAGTTACATCAAGTGTGCCCACCTCTCCTGTCTCCTCATCTACCTCCTCCACCTCTTCTGCCTCTGCCACTCCAGACAGCAAGACCTACCGCTGCTCTTCCTCAGCCTCCTCAACATGAAGACAAGGATGAGGACCTTTATGATGATCCACTTCAGTTCATGAACAGTAACTATATTTTCTCCTCCTTACGGTTTTTGTAATAACATTTTTTCTCTAGCATACTTTATTGTAAGAATATGATATGTAATAAATATACAAAATATGTGTTAATCAACTATGTATGTTATCCGTAAGGCTTCTGGTCAACAATAGGCTATTAGTAGTTAAGTTTTTGGGGATTCAAACATTATATGCATATGTGGATATGACTGCTTGGGGTTGGTGTCCCTAATCCCCACATTGTTCAAGGGTCAACTGTATTTTTTGTACCTAGAGCTTACTACCAGCATTAACTGGTTAACTATACCACTTAGATTTAAGCTTTTTTTTGTGAGTGTGAGATGGAGTCTTGCTCTGTCACCCAGGTTGGAGTGCAGTGGCGTGATCTCCACTCACTGCAACCTCCGCCTCCCAAGTTCAAGTGATTCTCCCGCCTCAGCCTCCTGAGTAGCTGGGATTACAGACGTGTGCCACCACGCTTGGCTTATTTTTTGTATTTTTAGTAGACACAGGGTTTCACCATGTTGGCCAGGCTGGCCTTGAACTCCTGACCTCAATTGATCCGCCCAGCTCGGTCTCCCAAAGTGCTGGGATTACAGGTGTAAGCCACCTCGCCCGGCCAGATTTTAGCTTTTATTTCTAAAATAAAACATCAACAACTAAAAAACCAGTTATAGAACTATATTTCTCAAACTAAACTGGGAGCAGTAGACTATAAGCCATGAGTTCTGATGAAGTTTTGAAAGGTTTGTATTTCCCAGAGAAGACTGGTATGGCCCCTGCACAAGGACGACATGCAAATTTGTGAAGTGTTCCATGAAAAAAACAAATTAAAACAATAAATTTTTTCTGAGACAGAGTCTCACTCTGTTGCCCAGGCTGGAATGCAGTGGCGCAATCTTGGCTCACAGCAACCTCCACCTGGGGGCTCAAGTGATCCTCCCACCTCAGCCTCTGAAGTAGCTGGGACTACAGGTGTGCACCACCATGACTAGCTAATTTGTCTAGTTTTTCTAGAGACGGGGTCTCGCCATGTTGCCCAGGCTAGTCTCAAACACCTGAGCTCAAGCCATCCACCCACCTCGGCCTCACAGAGTGCTGGAATTACAGGCATGAGCTACTGCACCTGACCTAATTTTTTTTTAAAAAAGAAAGGTTTGTATTTTCATTTCAATAGTATTTTTATAAAGTACATTCTGGATCATCTGAATAACCACATCACATCCAAAATCAATGTACAAGAATTCAGATGAGCTAAAGAAAAAGGCACAAAATGGACTTATAAAATAAATGACATATTTATGCCAAATAAAAGCCAAACCACTTAACCTGAGATTTAAGAAAGAAAGACTTGCAGCATTCAAACACAGAAGAGTGGTGTAGAAATTGAGTCATCATAGGATATAGAGTATGTAGAAAACAGGCCGGGTGCGGTGGCTTATGCCTGTAATCCCAGCATTTTCAGAGGCTGAGGTGGACAGATTGCGAGGTCAGGAGTTTGAGACCAGCCTGGCCAATACAGTGACACCCCGTCTCTACTAAAAATACCAAAAAAATTAGCTGGGAGTGGTGGTGGGCACCTGTAGTCCCAGCTACCTGGGAGGCTGAGGCAGGAAAATCGCTTGAACCTGGGAGGCGGAGGTTGCAGTGAGCCAAGATCGCGCCACTGTACTCCAGCCTGGGTGACAGAGTGAGACTCCGTTGCAAAAAAAAAAAAAAAAAAGAAAGAAAGAAAGAAAAAGAAAACTGCACATCTGCGCTAGGACAGACCCTAGTATATTCACTATGGAAAGAAATACATTTTTGTTTTGTTTTGAGATAGTGTCTTGCTCTGTCGTCAGGCTAGAGTGCAATGCCAAGATCATGGCTCACTGCAGCCTCGGACACCTGGGCTCAAGTGATCCTCCCACCTCAGCCTCCCGAGTAGCGGGGACTACAGAACGAGCACAAGCCATCACACTCTGGCCAATTTTCTTTGTATTTGTTGTAGAGACAAGGTCTTGCTACGTTGCCCAGGCTGGTCTTGCACTCGTGGACTCAAGCTATCCTGCCACCTTGGCCTCCCAAGGTGCTGGGATTACAGGTGTGAGCCACTGTGCCTGACCCAAAGATTGTTTAAGCAAAACAACATCATCCATCACCCTAAGTTTAATTTTTTTTACATTGGTTTTACAGTTTTGTTTACATTAGATTTATAAATTTACTTTTTGTTTGTTTTTGAGACAGAGTCTGGCTCTGTCGCCCAGGCTGGAGTGCAGTGGCGCGATCTCAGCTCTCTGCAACCTCTGCCTCCCAGGTTCAAACAATTCTCCTGCCTCAGCCTCCCAAGTAGCTGGCATTACAGGCACCCACCACCATGCCCGGTTCATGTTTGTATTTTTTAGTAGAGACGAGGTTTTGCCATGTTGGGCAGGCTGGTCTCCAACTCCTGACCTCAGGTGATCCACCCACCTCGGCCTCCTGAAGTGCTAGGATTACAGGCATGAGCCACCGCACCTGGCCTATAAATTTACTTTTGATTTATACTTGGTTTTATATTTATATCTATCTTAAAAAGTAAATATCTTAATAAAATAAGTTAGGACAATACTGGAGATTCACAATTTTTTTTTCCTTTAAAAGGGAACTGTAAATTGCTATTATTAAAAAATCAAAAAACAGGGGCCGGGCACGGTGGCTCACGCCTGTAATCCCAACACTTTGGAGAACTAAGGCAGGCGGATCACTTGAGGCCAGGAGTTCCGGAACAGCCTGGCCAACATGGGGAAAGCCCATCTCTACAAAAATTATCTGGGCATGGTGGAGTGCACCTGTAGTCCCAGTTAGGAGGCTGAGCTACGAGAATCACTTGAACACGGGAGGCAGAGGTTGCAGTGAGCCAAGATCATGCCACTGCACTCCAGCCTCAGCGACAGAGCAAGACTCCATCTCAGAAAAAAAAAAAAAAAAAGTCAAAAAATAGATGCTGGCGAGGCCGTGGGAACACGTATACACTGTTGGTGAAAATGTAAATTAGTTCAGCTGTAGAAAGCATCTTAGTGATTTCTAAAAGAATTTGACCATTTGACCCAGCAATCACATTACTGGGTACATATCTAAAAGAAAACAAATGTTTATGCCAGAAAGACACATGCACCCACATGGTCATCGCAGCACTACTCACAAGAGCAAAGACATGGAAACAAGCTGGGTGCCCATCAGTGGTGATTGGATAAGGAAAATGTGGTACATATACACTATGAAATACTACGTAGCCATAAAAAAAGAAAGAAACCGTGTCCTTTGAAGCAACATGGATGCAGCTGGAGGCCATTATCCTAAGCAAATTAACACAGAAACAGAAAACTAAATACCGCATATTCTCACTTATAAGTGGGAGCTAAACACTAGGTACTTATGAACATAAAGATGGCAACAATGGAAACTGGGGACTACTGGGGACGTAGGGAGGGGATCAATGGTTGAAAAACTATTGGCTGGGTGCAGTGGCTCACGCCTGTAATCCCAGGACTTTGGGAGGCTGAGGTGGGCGGACCATGAGGTCAGGAGAGCAGTATCATCCTGGCTAACACGGTGAAACCCCATCTGAACTAAAAATACAAAAAATTAGCCAGACATGCTGGCATGCGCCTGTAGTCCCAGCTACTCGGGAGGCTGAGGCAGGAGAATCGCTTGGACCTGGCAGGCAGAAGTTGCAGTGAGCCAAGATTGCACCACTGCACTTCAGCCTGAGTGACAGAGCGAGACTCCGTCTCAAAAAAAAAAAAAAAGAAAAAAAAAAAGAAAAACTATTGGATACTATGCTCGGTGCCTGGGTGACAGGACCATTCATACTCCAAACCTCAGCATCATGCAATAATACCCAGGTAACAAACCTGCACATGTATGCCTTGAATCTAAAATAAAAGCTGAAAAAAAAAGGTGAATTCCAAATTAGTCACATACCTTTAAAGTCTATGTTCAAGTATATAGTATTTAAATTTGAGCTTCTACCACTTATATTTAAATGTATTATGAAGATCTGCTGCACTACTCCCATTCTATTTAGGTGAGCTTCCTTAACTTTGTAACTTACTTTCCATAAAGTCTTTGCTACATGATAATTACATGAATTTCACAATGTATTTCAAAGGGTGTGAATTAACAACATAATAAAAAGAAATGGGCCAGGCGTGATGGCTCACATCGGTAATCCTAGTACTTTGGGAGGCTGAGGTTGGTGGATAACCTGAGGTCAGGAGTTTGAGACCAGCCTGGCCAACATGGTCAAACCCCGTCTCTACTAAAAATACAAAAAGTAGCCAGGCATGGTGGCGGGCACCTGTAGTCCCAGCTACTCGAGAGGCCGAGGCAAGAGAATCGCTTGAACCCGGGAGGTGGAGGCTGCAGTGAGCGGAGATCACACCACTACACTCCAGCCTGGGCAACAGAGTGAAACTCCGTCTCAAAAAACAAATAAATACATAAAAATAAATAAATAAATAAAAAGAAATTATATAACTGAGTGAAATAACAAATAAATGCTATTCATTTATTCACATACTCAATGAATAGGGTTATGTACCAAGGGATAGGCATTGTACCCGAGAATGAGAATAAACCAGCCTATAAAACTGAACAAATATACAAAAATAAAAAAGGGAACTTTATATTATTCATGCTTATGATTAACATGATGGAAAAAACATGGAGATTCAAATCAGAAAAGACCTGTTTCCAAATCATGGCTCTCCTAGTTGCTTATCATGTAATCCAAGTCAATAATAACATCTCTGAGCTTCATTTACTTATAGGGTTACTGTGAAGATAGTTATGAGGTATGCTGTAACTCAAAGTTATTTTCCTGTTTATCTAAATTAGCTTCTCCTCCTGATTTCTCTGTGGTTTTACGGCATCCGATAGTCTACTAAATGGCCAGGCGTGGTGGCTAACGCCTGTAACCTCAACACTTTGGGAGGGTGAGGCAGGTAGATCGCCTGAGCTCAGGAGTTTGAGACCAGCCTGGCCAACATGGTGAAACCCTGTCTCTACCAAAAATACAAAAAATTAACCGAGCGTGGGGGCCCAAGCCTGTGGTCCCAGCTACTCACCAGGCTAAGGTGGGATTATCACTTGAGCCTGGGAGGCGGAGGTTGCAGTGAGCTGAGATCCACTGCACCCTAACCTGGGTGACAGAGTGAGAACCCATCTCATTTAAAAAAAAAAAAATTCTATCAAACACCAGGGCTTACAATTGTATTATCTTTGACATCTCTCTTTCCATAGAAATATTAATCTGTCATATATCATGCAGATTACACCTTCACCATGACTCTATCCTCCTGTAACCAATTGTGTCTAAATCTCCAACTCCTGAAGCCTACTATGGTGTTTTTACCTCCATCTCCCCTTACCTACAATGCATTCTACATAAAAGCTACATGTACAAGATTTATCTTCTGAAGTATATCTCTGAGATTGTCATTATCCTACACTAAGTTACATTTTCTGTAACTCTTAAGGCCTTCTGCAGCAAGACCCCACTGAATTGATCCTTCCAACTTCACCTCCAGTGATTCTTAAATTGAAAGTTCCCTGAAGTAATGATATTGAGGTTATTTTATCCACTATCCCTAGCATACTATATGACACCTAATAGACACCCAATAATAATGTTTGAAAAAGTAGTGAAAATCGGCCGGGCGCAGTGGCTCACGCCTGTAATCCCAGCACTTTGGGAGGCCGAGGTGGGTGGATCACGAGGTCAGGAGATGGAGACCTTCCTGGCTAACATGGTGAAACCCCGTCTCTACTAAAAATACAAATAAAATTAGCCCGGCGTGGTGGCGGGCGCCTGTAGTCCCAGCTACTCAGGGGGCTGAGGCAGGAGAATGGCGTGAACCCAGGACGCGGAGCTTGCAGGGAGCCAAGATCGCGCCACTGCACTCTAGCCTGCGCCACTGCACTCTAGCCTGGGCGACAGAGTGAAACTCTGCCTTGGAAAAAAATAAAGAAAAAGTAGTGAAAATCTATAATACTCTTCCCCCAAAAAATGAACACTGGACTATCTCTGGTGGTATAATTCTTGCTTCATTTCTAACACACTTTTAATTATTAATACACAATTGTTCTAACCAGGACAATCTGAAAACTGGTCTTTAAAGACAATCACAAAGAATCACAAAGAGACAATAGCCCTCTGTGATTAAAAGAAAGCCAATGAAAAAGCTTTTTAATCTCCCTATTTTAATTATTTTTAAAATTCTTAGTCTTACTACTGAGTCAGCAGCTATAAGGCATGGGTCAAATAACTGCAACATAAAAACTGTAATTTTAAAAAGACAAAACCAAATACCTACTGAATAATACAGCATCAGACAAATTATTTTTAAAAAATAATCATTATCGTCATCATTAAACCTTCTGAGTACCTCTAAGGTATTTCTCCTAAAAATTTTTTTGGGTCTCTTATTCTTCTAGTAAGTGAAAGCCAGACCTACAAACTATACACACCTATTCACACAAAATATTTCCCCTCTAAGTAAACTACAAAATTTGTGATATATGACACACTATGGCACAGTGTGTTACATATACTCTTTGTAGACAATTTGAATAAGGAAATAATATCACATATACTCTCTGTAGACAATTTGAATACGGAAATTTAGGGCTAATCATAAACATTACCCATGGGCATTCCTCAATACTAATCCTTCTGTTCATTATACACTCAATGTCATTGACCCAAAAAAGCTGGGGGAAAAGCATAGGGTCCAAATTAATGTATAAAAATTTTTTTGCCCAGCCTAAAAATTTGATTCACATGTAACTTTTCTGTAACACTAGTGTTGTGTGCAAGGAGACAGACTCCTTACGGATCTTTCAGCATAACCTAAAACTTAACATGGGTCTTCAGATAACCTAATAAAACAGTGGCTGTTATAGTCAATCAATCCAGCTCTCTAAACAAAGGGCTAGGCTAATCACTCCAGCATTTAGTGATTTAGAAATAACAGAGGTCTCAATTTATTTTTCCCAACTTAATGTACTCACAACAAATGCTTGCATCACCCCATCGCAACTCTCCTTCTTAACAATGAAGGTAAAACTCAGGACCAAAAGAGAGCTCCTAGAGCTGTATTTCATTTGCATTATAAAATCTACAGCAAAATTTTTCATAACTTTACTCTCTGAATTCATGAACTAGGTTGGCGGGGGCAGGAGGGTGAGTATAGAGAAGAACTTCCCTGAAAAGCATGAGTATAAAATATAACTGAGAGTATCTCAATTGTTATATGCCAAATGGCAGGGGCAAAGAGGTTAGTTACTCTAAGGATAACAGAGCATTAAAAATTTTTTTTCTAATTCTTACAAAACTGGTCCCTATTCTATAAAATGTGAACATCCACAACCCAACAAGTTACAGACTAGGATCTAAGACACAGATCTTAAATGCAGATAAAATGCCAATGCTCTGCCTCCCTAAAGAAACGTACAACCCCAAGAACTGCTGAACACCATCAAAGCAACACCCGCCAGAGTGGCTGTTTTAAACATTATATCAGGAAATCATGATAAGTGCTAGCGGTTCCTCTAGGCCTCAGCAGCAGCCTTAGGTATAAGAGCAAACTGGAGCCCTCTTAACACTCAAAGAATAATGTTGATGTCATGACGAGGCTACTGATTCTTCGCACTCCGGACAAGTCATTCCTTGATCCACCGCGCAATTCTTTCCCCACCCACCCCCATCCCCCCAAATAAAGAGATCTCCGGACAGAGAAGCCCTCGGGTACCCCATCCTCCTCTACCTCCAGCGGCTGCCGCTTTCTCCTCCCTCGGGCTCCGAGGTAGGGGCTCCAGAAGGTCCTGGGCAATCCCGAGCCCCGGCGGGGCTTGTTTTGCCCGTGCACGATAGCTCTGGCCAGCAGCTTCCTTTCCCAGTTTGTCCAAACTGGAGCGCTCCAGGGTACCCGGGGACCGAGAAGGGAGCCGGGGTGGCGACGTCGCCGTCGCCGCCGCCTCTGGTATGTCAGGGGCCGGGATTGTATTTCGAAAGATCCGCCATTTTCACCTCGTCATCACCATCACAGCTCAGCAGCTTCCCCGACAGCCGGAGCCCGGGCCGCCGCCGCCGCCGCCACCACCAGTAACCTCCCCCTTCCTCCTCCTCCCCTCCCCGCCCGCCCCACCCGGGAGGCGCACACCCACATATCCGGGGAAGCCTCCCGCCGCCCCGCCAACCTTCAAACGCACAAGGGCCGTGCAAGTGCACACGGGCTACGCCGAGACCTTTCACCCCCGGGCGGAGCACGGGCCCCCGCAGGGACGCCAAAGGAAGTCGCGCCACCTGCGGGGTCCCAAGTCCGGCATATTTTTGTTTGCAAGACCAAAAGCCATGCGGAGGGTGGCATAAGGACAATAAAGAACCCAAACTCTTTCATTTTCAGAGCAGCAACTTGAGAGAGATGGTGGAATGCGTTTCATTCACTGTGGCTATCTCAGGCACTAAAAACACTGTGAAAGACCTTTAATGTCATTCACCAACTTTGACATTTTACCCCACCCGCAGAACTACTTTGACAGGATGAGCTATTTCCATATGCATGTTCGACCTTTGACACCTTTGTCAATTACAGGCAGCAATCCTCATGCAGATGAAGTGGTCAAAATATCTAATTTAAAAAAATAAAGTTCTGAGCTATCTTCCTCTCCAACTTAATTTATCTGGTCATTTCTGTCCATGAACACTGCGACTTCCAATCTGTCATCGGTTTAAGACGTCAAAGCGCAACTAGATTTGAAATGATTGAACTAATTGTAGAAACATTCATGAATGATCGATTTCTAAAATATTGAAAATATAACTCTTAGCTAAAATTATTTGCCAAATGTTTTTTTAGGATCTAAGTCATCAAATTAAAAAAAAACCATCTGCTGCTGATATATTTGTTCTGTACAGTAAAAATAAACAGCTTGCTTCAGAACAAGATCCTAGAGCTACCTACTAGGTAGGTAAGAGTTACCAGCTCTTGTCATCAGTCAGTTGAATAAGTAACCAAAAGAGAACAGAGGTAATTCTTAATCATTTAAAAAATAACAAAACATAAGCTGCAAGGCTTCTGAAGAGATCAGCATTAAAAAAAAAAAAAAAGGAAACTGGCTGCCTTTGTCAATTTTAGAAAGAGTTAACCATCCAAAAGCTGAATTCTGTATCATTCAACCACAACATAAGCTCTGGGCAAACTGAATTTCAAGGCTGCGAACAGGGCCACTCTACTGTCTAAGTTAGTGTAGGAAGAGTAAGGTTGAAGTTGAAGTTGAAAAAGTCATTTCATTTCCCTACCTTGTTTCAATGGCAACTCCATATAAAAGTCGGTAGATTCAGCCTTCAACAAGGGCTGTCCACCACCCACCCCAATTGCTGTTTTTATATGCAGACTACCAGATGCTGAGAGTATAAAGTGTTCTCAATTACTTCATCTTTAAACTTCATTTCCCCACTGACGGCCCCGTCCATCCGCACTCTGCTTGGTTGTTTACCGTTGCTGGCCAAGCTAAGTCCCGGCCCGCTCCCTTCCCCCGTGCACCTCGGGAACATTATGACATTTGGCTGGT